>NC_000004.12:113012290-113163805 GCF_000001405.40 Homo sapiens | reverse complement strand
AAGCTGGGTTTTCTTTTTTTTTTTTTTTTTTTTTTTTTTTTGAGACGAAGTTTCACTCTTGTTGCCCAGGCTGGAGTGCAATAGCACAATCTCAGCTCCCTGCAACCTCCGCCTCCCAGGTTCAAGCGATTCTCCTGCCTCAGCCTGTGGAGTAGCTGGGATTACAGGCATGCACCACCATGCCAGGCTAATTTTGTATTTTTAGTAGAGATGGGGTTTCTCCATGTTGGTCAGGCTGGTCTCGAACTCCTGACCTCAGATGATCCACCCGCCTCGGCCTCCCAAAGTGCTGTGATTACAGGAGTGAGCCACCGTGCCCGGCCAAAGCTTGGTTTTTAATTTAAAAAAAAAGTCCATTGTCATCTGTAAGATGACAAAAGCCCATTTTTCTAATGTGTATATAATTTTTGAGAACTTATTCATTCACCCCATTCTCCAAAGTATGTGGGTCGCAAATGGGGATGCACAGCTTTCAGCATCTTTTGCATATTTGTGACAATTTACATGGACACTGAGTGCAAATGGTGAGCTTTAGAAGGAAAAATTCCAATTCTAATAAGTCGACATTATACTGAAAGATATATATAAAGGCATTTTGCATCCCTTTTCTCACTCCCATCATGCCAGCCCACTGGTGCACAACAGTGTCAACAAATCTTTTTAACATAAAATTTTTTAAGAGACTAAAGAATATGTAATATGTGTACTGTATAAGAAGAAAATTGCTTCCCAGTTTAACTCACTGAGTTGACTTGATTAAATTACTGGAAGGATCTAGCTGTATCTATCTAAATATGTAAACCTACTGGAAAAAAATTATAGCTTTCAATTTCTCAAGCGAAAATAAATCAGTCAAACAGCAGGTTATTTTATGATAAATAGTTGAAATAATTTAATCTGTCCTTAACAATGAGTTATTTAGCTGAGATGAGAATCAAAGAAATATTTTTGAAGTACCTACTATGTACCAGGCGCTGTGTTAGATGCTAGGGATTGAATGTAGAAGAAATAAACATGATTCATCCCCTCAAAGATTTTATAATCTTTGAAGTTTAAAAAAAAAAAAAAAAAAAACCTTTAGCTACAAGATAGACCAGGAACAGAAGTGGGAAAAGTAGACCCAGGGAGATCCATGTAGAGGCAGTAGTCTAAGCAATAGGTGTTTGTTTGTTTGTTTTACAAACTTGTTTTACTATTTACATTTAGAATAGAGATTGCAATATAGTGTTTGATAAAGGTTCCTGCTGATAAGTCAGGTGGAAAACAGAGCCAGCCCAGGGAATAGCAAGTGCAATGTCATAGGGGCACGAAAGAACACAGTATAGAGAAAACTATAAATTCAGTATAAGGAGTTATAAAGATCATATTGGAAACAGGAAAGAAGTAAAACTCTAAAAGTAAAGTAGGGCCCAGACCATTAATGTTTTGTATGTCCTAATAGGGAGATTGAGTGTTACACCATAAGTAAAAGACAGGAAAAGGCAAGATCAGAATGTCCATTTTAAAATTACCACTCTAGCATGTGATGAGGATAAGCAGTGTCATCAGGGACATGTGAAAACAAAGTATTAGTCATATATAGAAAAAAAAAAGCTGTAAAACTTGGGGGAAATTGACTCTGAAAGTTTATGGAAAAGGAGAAACTAGGGAAAAGTTGGAGACTTCTAGCTTTTGCGTGTAATAAGTGACACTTTCAATAAAGATCAATAATTTAGGGGAACAGAATACCCTAAAATTGGAGAGAAGAACACAGTTTGGTTTTGACCGGATTGAACTTGAAGTGCTGTCACTGTAGAGTAGGGAATTAAAAATGCAAGGCTAAAAAGTCCAAGAGACGGGCATGGACTAAAGATAGAGGCCATAGAGTGACCTCTGGGAGATGGCCCAGTTTTTCTGTAGACACTGGATTTCGCTTCACTCCTTCCCATTTCTCTGCTCATGAATGTCCTAGGAATAAGGAAGGGCCTCTTGTAATGCCCCTGGAAGGGAATAATGCTGACCCATCAACATATTTAATGAAATACCAGGCAGTGAGAATAAAATAAGGAATTGCAGCGCATACATGCACATGCACACACACACACACACACACACACACACACACACACACGAGACTAAAACAAAATTTTGTACAGGAGTTTTCTCATGAGCTCAGAATACTAATATCATGCAGCTGACATTTTCTTATTTTTCCCATAAGACCAGGGCACAACTGAGAGGCCACTTTATCCTCATTGGATGTGACCTGCTGTAACTTTCTAAATTTACCATTGTGCTATGAACTGTAATTGTCAGGAATGTTTGGGCTATTCAATTTGAATTCTATGCAAGGTATAGCACTTACATAATTTTACACTAAAATGTAAAAGATAGCATTGGCTGAAAATGTAGGTGTTTGATTAATTATAGTACATACCACATGGAGTAGAAAAAAGATGAGCAAATCAAGTATTTGTAGCTTGCACTGCCTTTTAAAAAAAACTTAGCTTATATTGCAAAATTCTTCTGTTGGAACTCTGTCAACAAAAATCCACGTAGTTATTACTGTATTTCAAAGAATATCTGAACGTCTTCTGAGGCAGCTTTCAAAACAAATTCTTGATTTGTTGGTGTAAGAGTACTGGCATCAACTCTAGAGCGAATTTTGAAAAGTAAGGAAATTCCTGATTTAAACACAACTAAAAACAAAAGCAAGGTTAGCTAATTCATCTCATGGAACTAAACTTTAGCCCAGATGCCCAAGATCTTCTTTTAAAAGAAAAGTCAGACTTAAGCCAGGCTTAAGGAACAATGAAGAATTCTTTACTAGTTGTCTTTTATTATTTGACTTCTACAGGAATTTGTATTAAGTGGGCCCTGTGAGTCTATTTCCCAGAGGCAAGGATAGCTTCTTCAGAACCCTGCCTTAAATCTACCCTCAAGTTTGACCAAGTCCATTTATTCCGGGGTCCCCAACACCCTGAACATTCAATCGTTTATAAATATGTGTTGACAATGAGTCAGAAGCATAGCACTGTGCTAGATGTTGTGCATGGCTCAAGTGGGGTCCAAATTCATCTGTTTACGTGTCTATATCCCCAGTTGGCCTGGCCCTCCAAGGTAGAAATAGTCCATGACTTATTCATTTTTATTTCCACTGTCCAGCACAGTACCTGACACAGAATAGATGGAGAAGTATTTCTGGAAATATAATATAAGGGAAAAACAATATAAGGGAAGATGTTCAACAGGGTGAAATTGGCCAATAGGAATGTCAAGCAGCATTGGTCGATATGAATTAAACTAGTGAAAATTTGGGGGATCAAGTAAATTTTTTGCAGACTTACTAAATTTTAACACTTGGTTTCAAACCTTGATTAGCAAAATTTATATCTGCTCTTATTAATTCACCTGAAACTCATTGCCTAAGATTACATTTGTTTTTCAAAGTTTCCTTTACCCGCTGGATGTGGTGACTCATGCCTGTAATCCTAGCACTTTGAGAGGCTGAAGCAAGAGGATCACTTGAGCTCCAGGAGTTTGAGACCAGCCTTGACAACATAGTGAGACCCTGTCTCTATTTATTAATTTTTTTAAGTTTCCTTTATAATTCTATCAAATATCCACAATAAAATCAAACAATGCTGAACTCTTTCTAAGGGTTAATGAGTAAAGTGTGTCTGTATCATTACTATCATACAGCTGAAGTCATGGATGACTAATGAATTTAGTAATACACTTGACTAGACAGGCTCTGCAGCTCGACATTCTCTAACTTTAATTAGGTTAACAGATAAATGACAATTATGACATTACTAAATAAATTAAATACAGAAAGAAACTAGATTCTTGCTGATATTAACTACATAGGAACACTAGTACTCTTTTTTTAGAAATAAACTATAGGCCAGGTGCAGTGGCTCACGTCTGAAATTCCAGCACTTTAGGAGGCCGAGGCAGGCAGATCACCTGAGGTCAGGAGTTTGAGACCAGCCTGGCCAACATAGTGAAACCCCATCTCTACTACAAAAATACATATATATATATAAAAATTAGCCGGGCGTGGTGGTGGGTGCCTATAATCCCAGCTACTCAGTAGGCTGAAGCAAGAGATCACTTGAACCCGGGAGGCAAAGTTTACAGTGAGCCGAGATCGTGCCACTGCACTCCAGCCTGGGTGACAGAGCGAGACTCCATCTCAACAAAAAGAAAAAAAAAATAAAGAAATAAGAAACTATAATTTTACTCTTCTCTGTGAGGAAAAAGATTTTATGTGAAGCAATATATAAGCTTTAATTATTGTATAAATTATCCATGAAAGGGCAATTACTGACTACTCAGTATTTTTTAATGTAAAACATGCAGTAATATATTTCAGTATCCCCTGTAATTACAGTAAGATTAATTAACCTTCTAAATAAAAGAGATCATTGGTATGTCAAAATTATTCTGGCCAAGATACGAAGGAGAAAGTTTGTTTTCTTTATAATTACTATGTATATAAAATGTATCTCTCTTCAGTCATAGGGAGTCTATATATTTCATTTTACATATACATTTTTACACAAATATCTACCTGTAATATAATATAAACTAGTGTGTGTGTGTGTGTGTGTGTGTGTGTGTGTGTGTGTGGAAGGAAAGAGAAAGAGAGAGAGAGGAAGTCATATATGCTACTTCCAGAACAAAATTTCAATTTACTTGAAGGTGGAAACCATGCCTTATAATTCTTAGAATACCCAAAACCTAATTCAGTGCCTAAAATATATCAGCCAATAATGATGATTACTATGATAACAGAACCCTGGGGAGGATATTACCTTACCTTTTTTTATGTAAAGCTGACAACAGTTAATATAAATACAAATTACGCTAGCTTTAATTACTCAAAAAATAAACTTCAAAAATCACTTAAAGAAGAGTTAGATTATTGTGGGATATATGAAAAGATAACAGAACTTTTTTTGGCAAAGCAGTAAACTGTACCCAGAAAGATCTTGTTCATTAACCAAATTTAACTTAGTTGAAATGCCAAATTAACACCATAGATACCTCATCTCTAACCCTGACTAAGAACAGGGTAGCAGGCTACCCTTGTCTCAGTAATTAAAGGGCAAGACTGTGAAACTACGAGATGTTAAGAATTTCAAATAAAAGGTGTTTAGGTTGTGCCATTTCTCATTGGCAACCTTCAAAATGGGAGCCCAGCATATAATGTGCAGCGTGGTGAGAACCTGGGTCTACCTTAAAACCCTGTGGCATTCCACCAAGATAGAGTTGCCTTCAGCTGGAGATGCTCCACTTTGATTTGGTTTATTTTTTTTTCACATATGATAATCATAGGATATATTAGTAATTGAGTTTCCTCCACTGATAACATCTTTTTCATAGATATAACTATTAACTTTGTACTAATAATGTAGTCATGACAAAGATTTGGTCTGACCAAAAGCCATCTCTTCTGATCATGGTTTCAAGTAAGAGAATTACTCATATGTGTTTTGATTGGGTTTATACTGATGTTCACTATGTCTTAAGATAAACACTTGCTAAAAGGTGCATTGAGCAAGCAAGGCAATTCTTCATTTTTACATGATTCATATGTATTTATTCAGTTTCAGTGATTCCTCACTGAAATGTTTGAATTTTTTCCTACACAACATGGACTGACATAACATCAAATTAGGATGCTACATGCCATCTAAACTTGCTTTTTCTTTTAAGTCATCTGTCTACTCAAGAGACTCTACAATATACAATTTGCTTTTGTGTATACCCTCTGGCTATTCAACTAGACTGTCAGCTCCTTGAGGGAATGAATGAGACCTTGCACCTTACATATTTTGTTCTCACACCTTTTACCACAATATTAATAGCTAACTTTACTATATTCCAAGCACATTTATAATCTTATTTAATCTTCTTAAGCTTCCCAAATGAGAAAACCAAGGTCTCATAAGGTTAAATGATTCATCTGTATACTTTGGGGTAAGAAGTGGCAGACCCGAAATTGATAACTGGTAAGTCCTACCATAGAGACCACCATTCATTACTACTTCCCCAAGTTCCCCCAAAGGTGCTAAATACCTTTCCACTGTTGACCGACATATAGGAGTGGCTGCTGCTTCCTGCCTGGGATGAAGCTACTGCAGTCACATTCCTGGCTCAACTCTCATGTTCTGATCTCCCTTGATGCTCAATTCCCTTTTTTGGTTAGGGGCAGGGCCCAAAGTTTGAACCATGTGGCATTGCCACCTGTGGAATACCAAGATTTCTTTTCTTTAATGTTGCTAACCCAAGAGCTGTGACTTTTAAGGGTATGGTTATATTATTTCAAGAGTGTGTCAATATTATACTCAGTAAGTGAATCCAGAGCAATATCTCTATCAAAATTATCATGATTAACATGCAAAGAAAAAAATTTTTTTAAGCTTCACAGCAATGGTAGGCTTCAAAGACAACATTTGTCCCTCTGTTTCTATAACAGCACGTAGACTGTTACTAGCTCATATTGACATATCTCCCTGAGTGGGATTTAAACCTGGACCCCTTCCAAGATAGATGAAACCTCTCTCAGCTGTTCTTAATTAATCACCATACTTGCTGTTTAAATGTTGATTACACCTTTAAGAAACTATAACACTAAATCTTTTCACAGTAAAAACTAAGTAGTAGAAATGAAACCCATAATAAGTTTTCTCTCCCAAATTGATTGAAGAGCTATTAAAGCATGGATTATTAAAAAAAAAACCTTTAGGTTATAAAACCTTAAGAAACATAGAAATACTTATTTCATAAAAGTATTTGTATAAAACTACAAAATGTCTATGCCCTTTCATGCCTTTTTTGCTCTTACAATCTCCCTTCTCTTAAAAAGGATATATATGTAAAATATAGCCTTCCCTAGCCTTTATGTAATGGAAGTAGACAAATCTGTTTGTGTGTCACACACACATATATTTTTATATATGATGATTTCATGTTCTACTGTGAAAGTGTGCACGCACACACATACATTTTATATATATAATATATATATATATATAGGACATTTGAAAATGACTATAAAAGAAAACAAAATTACGGTTAGCAACCATAATCCCATTAGTCAAACTTAACACTGCATATTTTGATGTGTTTTCTTCAAGAATTTTTCTACATTAAGGCTGGGTGTTGTGGCTCATGCCTGTAATCCCAGCACTTTGGGAGGTCAAGGAAGACAGATCATTTGAGCTCAGGAGTTCTAGGGCAACATGGTGAAACCCTATCTCTACTAAATATACAGAAAATTATCCAGATGTGGTGGCGTGCACCTGTAGTCCCAGCTACTTGGGAGGCTGAGGCACGAGAATCACTTGAGCCCGGGAGGCGGAGGTTGCAGTGAGTCGTGATCACGTCACTGCACTCCAGCCTGGGCTATGGGAGTGAAACTCTGTCTCAAAAACAAAAAAAAAAGAATTTTTCTACATATACTCTATACGTTTGTGTAGGTAATGCTTTCATGATGTTGAAATAATAATATTCTGTTTTACTTTTAAAAATAAACATTACAAAGTTAGTATAGCCTATACCACACAAAAGTTTAAAAAGGTATTTTATATATCATATAATAGTCTATGGATAGATTATCATTGTTTTTAGCATTTCCCAAACATTTGTACAGAACTGGTGCCTTTAATATTCATTATTTTAAGCAACACTGCCATAAAAACTCTTGTATGTACATCTTTGTCCCTGTCTTGATTGTGTCCATTGTTTAAATTCCTAAAAGTGAATTAACAGTGTCAAAGAATGTAGATTTTTGGCACACACTGTAGGCATTGAAAGTTGCTAACTGAAAAGACATTACAAATGTTTGCCAAAGAGACCACCTCAACACAATCATAAACTCAAATTGCTTTGCTTAGTCGATAAGTAGATCATTGTGGTTTTCATTTGCCTTTTTCGTTTTTGAAGAGTTTGAAAACTTAGTCATATATTTATTGTCTACCACATTTGTTCTTTGATTTGTCTATTCACACTTTTTGTCCTTTTAGAGTTTCAAAAGTATTTTTTAATATTATATAGAAGGATAACATTTTGTCATTGTTTTTGAAAATTTTCTCAAGCTTGTTATAGAAATCAAAAAGTATGAAGTTCCACTTTTAGATTCTTATTCCATTGCTTTTATGCTTTCCAACCCTGAAGTCAATGAAATATTTCTCATTTTCTTATAGATTTATTAATTAAAAATTGTTTCTTTTTTCTTCCATTTAATTTTTTTAATTTCCTAAAACGTATTTTAGTGTGGGTCATAAGTAACAATCTTATTTGAAATTTTCCAAGTCAGTAATTTCTTCCAATTGTGGAAAATCTTAGAACCCACTTTAAATTTCTCCAATGTCTCCTTTTTTAGGTATCTCTTTCTTTAAAGAGCCAGCATTATAAAATGGACTTAGAACTGCCTTTCTAATCCTGGTTCTATCACTTGCCATGAGCTGTGTGACCTTGAGGAAATACCTGAACTCAAAAAAGCCTCAATTTCCTAGTATATAAAATGTATAGAATATGTGGATTGGATTATGTCATATATATAAACCCCTGAGAACAGTGTATTGGAATAGTAGGCATCCAATAAAGGCATATGTTAATACTCGGTTCACAAAGCTAATGTCAGTAGTAAATGAAATGGTATGCAGTATGCCATTACAGAATCTAGCAGATAATAGGGGCTCAATAAATGATAGCTATTATTGATGATAATTAATATGGAATTTGCTATACACATTCATACATTTCTTTTATGTGTTTACTGTCTTTACTTTTTATTTCCTTCTTGTTTTCCACCTCTAAGTTATCTTGTGATCCTGGGTAGAATAGATCTGGTCCCAATGCCAGATGAAGTGGTTAAGACCAAGATGGGCCAGGAAGCAGCCCAGTCCATTAGTTGACAGTGTCTATGGGTAGGTTTTGGCATGTAGCTGTAACTGCCTGGGTTACATTTAAAATAAGAATGGCAGTTGGCATGTCCATCTAGATCACTGCTTAATTCTTTAAAGAATTGATTGGTGGGTACGACAAATCAATACCAAAGGAAAGACTGATTCTTCAATCTATGTATATGTTACAAAACAAGAATAAAGAACATGTAGACTTACAGAATTCATTATTTACTTTCTTGAAAGAAACTTACTGAATAATTAATTCTACAGATTTATATATAATTTTAAAATATAGAGAGTATCTAATATTTGATACACTTCACATTAGTCGATATATTAAGAACTTTTAGTGAGGCCAGAAGAATTTTGTTAATCATCTCTCATGTGCTATGTGACATTTTAAGCAGGAGTGTGGGATTCAGCCAAGATATTGTACTAGCCCTCAATTCCAAGGAAGGATCAGATCATTCAGAACAATCTTGCTGTTCAAGCTGACTGCTCAACAATGGAATGAAATTTTGACTTTTCAAAAATTTGGGGACACATTTTCATAACATTGTCTTATAGTACCTTACTCCTTGGATTTCCAGTGGAAATTGACAAGGTTAAACAATGAATAAAAGGACTCTATATAGGTACACAGTAATTATTAGTTTTTGGAAGTGAAACTTAAATTTATTCTAAGTGTTATGGTTTAAAACTTTATGGTGATACAGCACAGATATTTTCTTACTTTTAAGGTGATGCATATGAAATGCAGAAGGGCCCATTTGCTGGCAGAGTATCCTCCATTCCCACATGTCCCATGTGGTCTCAGCTACTTTAATTGCCTCTAAATAGAATTTTGGCAATACATTGAATTAACCTGGATAAGAAGAAGCTTAATAAAATGTGAAGGGTTTCTTCTACTTTTATGCTCTTATGTGCTGATGTTACATATTCAGCCCTGACTCTTCAGTAAAGTCAGCCTCTTGCAACACAAAGCAGTGGTTATCATACTTAAGTGCACTTAAGGGTTACTTAGAGACTATGCTTAATCTTGTTAAATAAATATTCTTGGCTCTCACCTCTGAGATTTTAACTCAGGAGGTCTGGAGTAAAGCTCAGCCATCTACATCATTTAAAAACACACCAGGCGATTCTTCTGATGTGGTAGTTCACAGAGTACACTTTGGGAGGCGCTGACATAAAGGATTAACTAGACTTTTCATACTGTGTGTTTATTACACAATCCCAAATACAGTTTATCCTATGTCATCATTAATCATCTAGTCTGTCAAAATGTATGCTGTAAGAATGCATAAAAAGCTGAATATCATAAGCCATTTTTTAAAAGAAATGATTATGTATTATAGATGGTATAGACAAATCTGTGAAATATATACCTTACTAATATAAAATTGTTAAATGTCTTTTATTCCTGAAAAATACTCTTTTTCTTTTGTAACTCTGGGGAAAAGTTCATATGTAACAACCAGTGGTTTTCAAAAAGGAAAGATTTTCACAAATTTTTCTATGTACTTCTGTTTTACTAGGTATCTTAGAAGATGCTTTCTAATATCCTTCAGAAAGCCAATAATCTAGAAAGGTATGACACAAAAGTAGCAAATATAAAGGTACTTCAGCTCTAGTTCTAATATATTATTTGTGACTTGTGAGAGATCCAATTTAAGTACACAATGTGTTTATTTAATAGAGTTGCTGTACTAGAATATGGAAATTCCTACAGTATCAAACAGAATCTATGATTTACTTCAAAGCCCCCTTTTGGAACTCATTGATGACTGAGGAAGGTAAAGAGTACAGAAAAAAAAAAAGACTGAAATTTAAATAAACTGTATGTCAGCAACACTTAAACTCATCAAAAACACAGTTTCAATTTATAATCTCTACTATTACACAGCTGGCTTTCACATAGCTTTAAGAAACAATTCATTAGCTCAAAGCCACCATTGAAATTATTATACTTCTGTCAATCATTGTAAGATTTTTACTATTTTTTTTTGAGACAGCATCTTGCCCTGTCACCTAGGCTGGAGTGCAGTGGTACAATCAAGGCTCACTGTACCCTCAATTTCCTGGCCTGAAGAGTTCCTCCCAGCTCAGCCTCCCAAATAGCTGGGTCCACAGGTGCACACCATCAAACTTAAAAAAAAATTAATATAGAGACAGAATCTCCCTGTGTTGCCCAGGTTGATCTCAAACTCCTGGGCACAAGTGATCCTCCTGCCTCAGCCTCCCAAATTGCTGGAATTACACGTATACTTCTTATAAGGAAGTATTAAAGAAAGGCACAAAAAAGTTTTACTATAGTCACATAAGCCCACACAAATATGATATGAAGGTCAGCTTTGAAAAATCAAACACGTAAAATTTTGACAATCAAATGTGATATAATATGCCTAAGATTTCACAGAGAAACCCTTAAATAAAAATAAAGAATTCAGGAAACAAGTCAATCTATCTTGTGGCATAATAAGTTTTGATTAAAGGGGCATAAAATCCAAAACAGCAACTAAAAGTGAGTAAGAGGCACAGCAGATGTCTGTGTGGGAAGGAAGCAAAATACAGCTGAAAAGAGGACTCTCTCCCCAGAGTATTCCCAGCTCCATCATCACACAGGCGACCTTGAAAAAGCCACTATAGGGACAGTGGAACTAATCTTATTAAATATAGCAGAAGAGATATTATTCAAAAGTTATTACATAGTTCAAGTAAATACAAATACTTGGTTTGGATATACCTCATTATAAAAAAAATAAATAGATAATGCTTAACATTACAATGTAATCTTTCTTTCCTTCTTTTTTCTTTTTTTTTTTTTTTCTTTTTTTTTTTTTGAGACAGAGACTTGCTCTGTCACCCAGGCTGGAGTGCAGTGGTGTAATCTTGGCTCACTGCAATCTCCACCTCCTAGGCTCAAGTGATCCTCCCACCTCAGCCCCCCAGTAGCTGGAATTACAGATGTGTGCCAGCACACCTAGTAATTTTTTTTTTTTTTTTTGTAGAGATGGGGTTTCACTATGTTTCCCAGGGGGTCTTGAACTCCTGGGCTTAAGTGATCCTCCCACCTCAGCCTCCCAAAGTGCTGAGATTACAGGTGTGAGCCATGGTGCCCAGCCTACCTTCACCAAATTTCTTTAAAATGTAACCATTGCATTTTATGTACAACTTGATATAGAGAATAACAATTCAAGAAAATGTCTACTACTTTCTATAGTAAATATGTTTTATACATATATTTTATACCAATGCTGTGGTTTCCATATTTGACTCTGCAAACCTCAAGTTGAAATGTGATCCCCAATATTGGAGGCAGAGCCTAATAAAAGGTGTTTAGATCATGAGGGTGGACCCTCATGAATGGCTTAGTGCCATTCTGGTGATAAGGAGTGAGTTTTTGCTGTATTAGTTCCTATGAGAGTTCCCCTGATGGCTGATCATTAACAAGAGCCTGGCACCTCCCCCTGGTTTCTGTACACACCAGCTCTCCTACCCTTTCCTCCGTGAGTGGAAGCTTCCTGAAGCCCTCACCAAAAGCAGATGCTGGTGCAATGCTTCTTGTACAGCTTGCAGAACTGTGATCCAAATAAACCTCTTTTCTTTATAAATTACCCAGCTTCGGGTATTCTTTTGTAGCTACACAAATGAACTACGACAACAAGTAATGTGTGCAATTGCAGTAAGGGTACATTCCTTTTTTGAGCAGAAGGTTATAATTAAAACTTCTTAGTTACCAACGTCTTTACTGTTTTTAGAAGTGTTTTTTTGCTTCCATCACCTTTTCAATGTTGGCGGCCTCTGGTTTCATCTGGGGGCATGTCACCTGTAGTGGGAAAATTCCCATAAATAGATTTGCTACTTTGGGTGATTTCCTAGTCATTAATTCATTCATTTTTTTCACAAATATTTACTAAGTACCTATTAGCTGGTAGGAACTTCAAAGAAAATAGAGCTTATGATATGCAGACTACAACCTAATTGATTCTCCTAAAACAGCCTTTGGTCAATGGCCTTTCACTAGTATATAGTTCAAATTCTAAATCTTGACTTATGAATCTCTTGATAATCTTAGCCTATGTGCCTCATCTAAATTTTGGGGGTTCCACAAATGTCCAGTAGAAATGGTATTATAGCCATTGCTTTCCAGTCTTTCTAATGAGTCCAATACTGAGTGTGTGAACTTCCCATAATGCTTCAGGACTTAACTTTTCTGCCACCCTCTGAGGCTGAGTTGTCATCCTGAAGTACTCTATAATCCCCTGTGCTTTCTCAGGACATGGGAACACAATATTCAAAGTCCTGCTTTGGCCATCCCTGGATTACACTCCTTCAAGCCAAGTTTGCATGTCCTACTCATCTTGGTAGGCCCATGCCTGGCTGAATACATGCTTACTGAAGGCACAAGTGTACTTTCTTCCCAACAGGAACCCAGATTGTATTTTGCTCCCAAGATCTGCTTCAGGCTCCACCTTCTCCACTGGCAGGATGGATATTAAAAATATTTAACAACTAGTTCAGCTCAGGCACCAACCACTCCCAATGGACACTGGCCACAGCACTAGAGGAGGGTGGTCCTGGAAGCCCCTTGAGAGTCCAAGCATTATTCTTTTGTTTGCTTCTTTAGAGGATGGGAGTAGGCTGGGAAATCCTGAGGATGGGGTTCTGCTAGCCTCAGAAGGGGCAGCTTGGTAGGTTCATAGTAACAGCTGCTTAATTAGCCTGTGTGAAAGCAATTCAAACTGTAAACAAGTGGTACAGCTGATCTGCACCATATCAGCTAAGTATTAGCTCTGTCCACGAGGTGTTCCCAGAGCACCGAGGCCTGCACTGATCCCCTCCTTCTTGGGCATCCTATAATGGCTCATTTCAACACTCGTGCAGCCAGTGAATTCTCTACTACCTTTTATAGTTAATTGATTACATGTGGGTAAGCCCTGTTTCTAAAACTGGATTGTAAGTTCCTAGAGAATGAAAGTCATGTCTTCTCTTCTTTCAATCTTTCTTTTTTTTTTTTTTTTTTTTTTTTTTGAGGCAGGGTCTCACTCTCACGCAAGCTGGAGTGCAGTGGTACGATCAAAGTTCACTGCAGCCTCCACCTCCCCAGGCTCAGGTGATCCTCCCACCTCAGCCTCCTGAGTAGCTGGGACCATGGGCGTGTGCCACCACACCCAGCTAATTTTTGTATTTTTTTGTAGAAACAGGGTCCTGCCATGATGCCCAGACTTATTTTGAACTCCTGGGCTCCAGTGATCTGCCTGCCTCGGCCTCCCAAAGTGATGGGATTACAGATGCGAGCCACCATGCCAGGCCTTTATCTTTAAATAAATCATCTAAAAGTTACATAACCATATCTAAATCATTTTGTATTTTTTGAAATGCTTTACCAGAGTAATTTCCATTACACTTTTGGCTCTTGTTAGGGTTAATATCAAAACTAACCATATGAACAAAATTTCCTTATCTTTTATAAAACTTTTACGGAAGACAATACTATACCATTTAAACTAATTTATATTCTTTTAGAGTTCAAAACTGAAGGAAAGTTTAACTCAACTCTTTTGACATACTGATATGCTTCATAGATAAGGAATCATCTCACTCATTCTCTCACACACACACCCCTCTATTTCTTTTATAATCTCCCAAAAATCTTTCAATAAAAACAAAAATACATCCTCAATCTGATTACAATCTCACCTCCATTGTTAACATCCTAATCCAATCCTCCATCCTTGTTCACTTCAGGGCTGCAAACCTTGAAACCAGTTAAACTGGTCTCCCTTCTTTTTCTCTTGCTGCATTCACAACTCATCCTTCACCAAGGAAAGGGAGGGGGAAATGGAGGGAGGAAGAGATGGGGAGAAAGGGAGAGAGATTTTTCTCAAAGCATAAATGAAGTTCTACCATTTCCTGGTGTAGAGCTCTCCAGAGGCTTCCCACTGTGCTTCTAATGAAATCTCAAGTCCTTTTCCAAGACTCAATTATGTTCAGAAAGAAATCAAACTTTTGCCAAGGTAGGCCCATGCTTGCTTCTCATACCTCATTGCCATCCGTCCTCTTCTTTGATCACTACATTTCAGTCATGCTAACCATCCTTCCGTCCCTTGAACGTTCCCAGTACATTTCCCTCTCAGTTAGGCACCATGCTTCCTCATCCCCCCATATAAATGCTGAAAGTCTGTCTCCCGCTATCACAGGAACTCTGTCTTGTCATCGTTAAATCGCCAGCATTCAAAACTATACCTAGCTCAGTGAACATTTGCTGATTGACTTATTACCTTTTGAGTCAGCTAGCAGAAAAGTATTGTTTTCATAATAAGACCAGAATTCATGCTCATGGTCTAAAGTAATAAGAACATTTATAGAATAATGAAAAAGCTCATACGAAAAACCTGAAAATCTCTACTACAATTGGGAAAAATTGTTAAAAATAAATGAAGCAATAAAATAAAAATCTCTGAGAGTAAACTGGTAAAAAAAAGAAGGATGTGATAACTTGAAAATCAGCTAGGGTAGGTAACCTAAAAAATGTCTATATTAAAGCATCGCATCTATGGTTTTGCTCTTGGGACAAAGCAAATTAATTTGTTATGCTAAGGAAACCACAATAGAAATACATGATCTCAATGCAAGAAAAATACAGAGTATACTTAGACCAATATGCAAATTTATAAATGATATCATCACAAAAATACAAGCCAAAAGAAGACCATAAAATAAAGATACATTTTTTATGCTGTTCTAAATAGCACTTTATCAAAACATGGTCAAGAATCCTTCTCTCTGGAGCCTACTTGGACCCTAACAAGGCCTTGCTGACTTGTGTCAGAGCTACCCTAGGATCCAGGGCAAAGTCTGTAAGGCATCTCCAAGAGCTGCTTCTTTCACAAGTGAACTTGGAATACACCCACCAGTCATCTGCATACATGAACATGGAAAAATAATGAGATGACGCAGTTTTCCCCTCTGTGATTAAAAATTTAGAAGCATTACCAGGACTAAATAAAAATTTAAAAACAGCTGAGTTTTGTTCTTCACTCTGTCCTGTCCTGCATGCTTCCTCTTTTTTGGAGCTGCCAAGCCAATTGTGATAAGAGCAGATCTTTGGTCCTTTAAGGATTTACGTAAAAGCCAAGCTCATTTCAGAGGAAAACCCTGACATATGTTTGTGAGTCTTACATTCTCATTTGGAAGACATAAAGTCCAACTTAAACTACCTAGAACCACATATTTTGCTTAAGTCATGCTTGGTATTAAGTTAAACATTAACTTTTTCTTTTTCTCCATGGCCAAAGTGGAAAAATTCTGGGCAGAATATCATTTCTGAAGGTAGAAAACAGGTCCACTTCCACCTCTACCACACCTTTCCAATGTCACACCAATCATGATATGCTCCAGTCTATAAAACCTTTAGCAGAAGATTTTATTAAATGACTAACAGGCTATATTAATTAATTCAGAGAAATGACATTGTACATTTTTAAAAATACACTCATTTTTGTGGTCCTGAACTAGTAGTAATGATACTTTTTGTCCCCTCAGTTCAGAAAGCTGCATTAGAAGTGACTGCTCTGAGAAGTCCAGAGCGGCTCTCCTGGGTGGATGTGGGTAGTGGAAACCATAATCCAGGAGAAACGTTACTGCTCTTGGTTACAAACCTCGCCTGTGCGGTTGTTAACGGTGGGTGATCTCCCTTCCCTGGGACGGCCTCCCTCCCCACCTTTTTTTTTCTTCGTTTTTGACTACGGTGACCTCCATGCTGGAACTACTGTCCTCTTTTTCACGACAGGGCTTTCTGTTCACTGCCAACTGCAAATATTTGCCCTTCATGTTGTTTTTGTTGATAAATTCTTAGTTTTAGTTTTAGTTTCACTATGGTCTGACAGAGTTTCAGTGCTAAGAAATGATGACATTGTTTCAGGTCAGAGTAAAAGCCAAAGAGAGCAGAGCACCACCTCCTATGCTTCAGACCCTGTTCTCACTCCTGGAAATATCAGGCAAGTACATAACAAGTACAAACGCCTCTGCCTCTCTTACTCAGAAATCCTACATATCTTAGTTTCATAGTTGCAGCCAAACCATGCAACCAGCTATTTATTTTCATGCAAATAAATAACTTGCAATAAGGTGGTCAAATTCCTGGATCTGACAGATAAAAGATAAACTTTATTCTCCAGCAAATATGAAAATCCAAATATTTCAGAGATTCCTGGCCAAAAAAAAAAAATCACAATAAGCCTTTGTACCCATTTTAAGGAACACATCATGCCTATGAATTATTAAAATCTGAAGTTTTTAAAAAATAAAATTTTAATAAAGATTTAAAAAAATAAATCTTATTTAATTGCTTAACGTTTAAGCCTTTTTACAAACTATTACTATCATAACAAGAAAAGCATTTAAGGACCTCTTCACTGAAGTTAGTCAAATATTAGAGGGAAATACTGTTTTAGGCTGGAGCTGGGATACTAAGGGAGCATATGCTTAAAAAAATGCTCTGTGACTTAGTGAGAAACGAACTATACATGAATAAATAGGCGAAAGAATTTGACAGACTGAACGTAAGTGAATCTCTGCAATATTGCTGAAAGTCACTCTATAATAATACGTATGTCCACCTTTGGACAAAATTCCAAATTAAAGAGACAGTGTCATTGCTCTTTCCCAAATGTCAGCTCAGAGTTAAAGACAACCGAGAAAAAACAAACATGTGGCATTGCATAACATGAAGAGGAAGCAAAAGCATGCCACTTGATCAGAGGTAGTCAGGTGGTTTGATCACATTGGCTTTATTCTGTCAGCTTCCTTCCAGGAAGTTTAGAGGTCTGACCAATGAGGTCTACTGTTGATTCTTATGCCACCATCCTCCCTTCCTCCTCCTTTGTGGCCTAAAACTTACCCACACTCCAGGTTCTTTGACGTCCTCACTGTTACAGCCATAGTAGTCTGGGGTTTTATCCAGTTCCTGCATGTTTCCTTGTGCTCTTATGCTCTTATCCGCATGGCAAGAAGAGCAGAGGGCTGCATTCCCCATCTCAGCTCTACAGTTCCTGCTGTCAGTGGGCCCGTCCTTGCCCTCTGCACTCTGTCCAGGGCTCCCAGGGGTACACTAATGTGGGCAATTCATCAAGATGATCCTTGGCTCCTCTGCTCAGTTCCCTTCCACGCCCCTCACCAGTTCTCCCCATCTGCTAGCTGGCTTGCTGGTGTCAGAGAGAACTCAAAACCCCCGGCAACTGCAGGCTGCATTCAGTGACCATTTCCAGTGCAGGCGCTGCCAGTCTATTTTTACACCTACCAGGCCAGCTATGCATGTCAATGGAGTGAGGGGGGTGAGGCAGACAGAGAGCAGGGGAGGGGGCGGTGTTGTTTTGTTTTTCACCATGCAAGCAGCCTGCCTCACACATGGACTTAAGTTCCTGCTGGGTAAAATGTCTCTACATATGAGAATTTTTGCATTACTCAATGAATGCCTTTGAATCTTTCTATTTCCCTCTTCTCTGTCTCTTATTCACACAATACTAAATATTTTAATGAATCTGCTTTATCAGCAAAACAGATAAAAATTATTTTTGTAATTGCTTCCACCAAGTGGAAACTACTTGGTTTATGTATACTCTTTCTCATTATTGTTACAGAAAACAATTAGCCATCCTTTTACCGTTCTTTTAACATGTAATATTCAATGGAAACACATCCATCAAATGGCTCACCTGACACTGGTATAGAAGTTTTGGTTTTTATAATTGTGTAGTTTGTCATTATTCATGATTGTGCCACATGAGAGCAAACATGTTGATTCATTTATAATTCGTTTTAATTTTTAGTATTTTGAAAATGTTTTCCCCAGCTTTACAAACAATAATCAAGATGGCTTTCAACACCATCCAATCTTTGAAATCATATTACAGGTTTTTGAAAGAAATTGTTTCCCACTGAGATGAGCATAGCAAATATACATTAGATATGCTGTATGAAGCTAATTATGATCAAATCAAAGCTTTGTGAGGGACTAATATGGATTAAGCTTTATTCCTCCATTAGGGTTTCCTCTAAAACTATATATATATATATTTATAACTATATATTTATATATAAATTTTTATATATTATATAGTTTAAGTAGTATATAGTTTAAAAACCATATAAAATATATTAATATAAATATTATTATATATAATTATTTGAATATTAGTCCTATCCTTCCTCATTTGTTATTTGCATGTACATACAGCTTATTTTGCAAATCATTTTAAACTACTCAATGCAGGGTCCAGACTTAGATTTTATATTATCCATCCACATGCTATAAATTAAATATTAAATGTCTAAAAAAAGTATTGAATTGGAAGCAATTATTTGGGGAAAACAGGATGTGGAAGATATTTAGAAACTAACCATATTACATTTGATAGACTAGAATTTTCCTTTCCAATATGTCATTTTTTTTTAAAGCTAAAAACCATTTGCCATTATTTTTTTTAAAAAAATTAAAAATAACATTCCTGAAATACCTTTCTCAGATTTGAGTTCACAAATCCCTAAACACTCAAATCCAAGAGGGACATTTTTGTATTGTTGCTTTCCACAGGGCCCCACGCTGCTTTTTTGTCAATCTGGTTTTGAATAACTCTTCATTCCAGCGTTTATGAGCCTCAAGTATCTTGCTTATTATAAAGTTCCTATCCTTACAATCCAGTTTCTGAGAGGCATTGCCAGTATTCAGTGAAATTACTTTAACTTCCCAGCTATAGGTGAAGGCATCTCTTAAAATCATGTTTTACAAATTACTGACTGAACCAAAAATATTATGACAACAATGGAAGGGGGCTCATTTCTCCATTCATGTTAAAAGGAACATGAAATCTAAACCTTTTAAATGTTAAAGTTTTAAGTGAAAGCATTCAGAAAGATGATGCTTCAAAATCAGTGACAAGATTAGACTGTTGGCTGGGATACATCAAGCAAAGCCTTTCATGTTTCCTGAATAATTTTATATAGACTAACGATTCATCATAATATGGTAGTTTCTCATCAAATTTTCCACATATTTGAACCATGTTCTGTAGTATTTAAGTAGGCTATGATGTTTAATGGTGTACTTATAAATTCTTTTACTAAGATGTGGTTTTAACTTTTTTGTCTCCTTCTATAAGGTTCTTAGAACTTGGAGAAGGTCTGTGGTCCACAAAGTCTTATAATACGTGCTTCTTCTTGAACATATATGAACTATTTTATTCAGAATATAAACCCAAAACAAAGAATGCCAACCAAGATTTTTCCAGCTATTGAAAGAGATGCACTCCCCCACGCACACTTTTGGAATTAGTGTACTATTTTAAAAACATTCAATAGAATCTTCAAAATAGAATTATGTCCACTTAAAACACTGGTTGTAAACCTTAAAAATTATCTCTAGCCTCCTCACTTCATTCTGGAGCTGAGGTCTGAAACTCTGTACTTACACATGGAAAAGGAATATTTAACCACAGCAGATTCAGGAGATGCCCCTAGGTGCTAGATGAATAATTTTGCTGTGCTTTAACAGCTCGAATTGTTTCCTGGCATCTTTCTGTCTCATTAATACAATACCCATTCCACCGCCATGCCTTTAATTTTAAAGCTTTCCTTTCTCTTGCAAGTCTTCATTACACCTGTGATATTAGTCCCTTATTTTGTGTTAATATCTTTTTGAATAAGGTTGTGACTACTATCAGCTCTCGCTCTTTACAAGATATACCTGTTTTCTCTGACCAATGTCCTCCCATACCTAAATATGCACACTAGTATTACATGTTTGTGAGGTAAATGAATAAAAGACAACCACAGATAGGGACGCAATTCATAATATCAATATTTAACTGGACTACACTGACCTAAACGTCTTTTTTTTTTGCAGATTAACAGAAACAGATTTAATAATTTTAAACATATTTAAGTGTGACAAATATTTAATTTCTTTTCCAGATTTTCAATAAACCTCCCTTTTGGCCTTTGAAAAAAAGGTTAACACCATTTGGGGTAAATTTTCCTAGAAAAGAAATTACAGTGCTTTGTTAAGAACGAAAAAACCACTGAGAGTATGAACCAACCAAGTAACATGCTGACAACTGTTGGAATACACTTTCCCTAAATAACTAGTTATTTGTTTTCTTCTACCCCCCTCTTTCTTTTTCTTCATCTCGGGGAAATCATCTCATGCTTTCTCCAATAAAGAAACTTTCTGCTTGGTGAATATAATATCCATACTCCTATGATTAGCACTGTCCCAAATATGCCATGTAGTGATCCCTGAACCCCACTGCTAAAGCTTAGTGTCCAAACAGGGACAGGCCAAGGAAAGACAAATGCAAACACCTGGTGCTACTGTGATGGCTGAAATTTCCTATTTTCTGGCTGAACAGATTTAAATTACCAACCTGGAACCTGGAAAACATCATAGCTGTGAAAACAGAATTTCCTATGAGCAGCTGCCTATGTGTGATCACTTCAAACTTTGCCGACGATCAGATACTTTCTAATAAAAAATAAAAGTGTAAGGGGTCTGTAGAAGAGGACCTTATTTCAGAAGTTAAAACGTTTCTAGTTCTATCTTCCAGTGGTTAACCAAGGGTGGCTGCCAGACAGGTCTGGCACAGAAGCTTGGGTGATGTGACAACCTATATACATAACATTTTGTCAAACTGAAGGAAAGCTTAGCAAATACAATGCAGCACCATCCTTTAATAATCTGCCAGTAGACAGTCGGGATCTCTGTGGACATCTGACAAGGAATATGCTTTCTGCCAGGGCAGAACAATGTCACCACTGTTTTTCAAAAATGCTTCAAAGTCATTAGGGCAAATTACTCAGAAAGCAAATATTTGCATGTTTGACCACACTTAGAGCAGGGTACTTGAATTTGATACATGACTTAGAAAGTGAAATTCAAAGCCTCCATGACGTGACATATTTGCAATATCTTCTTAAATTCCCAGGCCCTTTTACTGTTATTATTTCATTTGTATTGCTGTGTTTCAAATCCATCATAAGAGAAAAGCGATTAAGGACTGAGAACAAAGGCTAGCCTCTCAGCTTTAATCTTCTGAAAGTTGCTGCTGAAGTCCCTATGACAGCAAATCTAAAAATCATTCACTGCAGTTTTAAATTTCACCTTTTAAATAAGAAATCATGATTACAGAACCATCAGGAAACTAACACCTTGGAGAAGAAATAACTGTCTCAGTTCTATAATTTAACCTAAAGGGATAGATCACAACTCCTGAAGTGAAGTTTTGAGAAGACCTCTTAGTTAGGATTTACTAATCCCAGGTTTTGATCCCACTATGAATTTCTCTGTGTGGACTTTTGTAACCTTTATCAAATCTGAGCTTCTATTTTCCTGTTTTTTAAAAAAGAAAATTAGATTCGATGGTTGTTGGATCCCTTCCAGCTCTGAAGTTTTTCACTTCTATGACACAGAATATGTAACATTTGAACACACACCTAACACAAGGCCATAGTTGAAGGTGATCACCTATTTAGTCCATTTGCATGGGGAAAAAAAGGATAGGAATCACATGGTTTCTCACTCTCTGGGCTGGCTTTGCTCAGTAGTGTTTCCCTGACAGACTCACAGGGAGGATGAAAACACCACTGTGGCATATGACAGACTCTTTGTTAATATCCAGGAGCTCTTTTTCAAGGTGAGGACCATTTCACTCTTATTCCACCTTTGCTGAGTATTAGCCTCACTTACACCCTGCCACATCTTTTACATGTCACAATTGTAAACTAACTGTCGCCTGGAAACATTCTTACTCTCCCAAACTGGCTTTGCAGGACAGCTTTATAGGACTTTGTAAGACAAGTCTTTGCAAATCAACTGTGTAAGCTAGTTTTATTTTCCTTCAAATGTTTCGATTAATTTATGCTTTTTTTTTTTTAAACGGAGTTTCACTCTTGTCGCCCAGGCTGGAGTGCAATGGCGCAACCTTGGCTCATTGCAACCTCCGCCTCCTGGGTTCAAGTGATTCTCCTGCCTCAGCCTCCCAAGTAGCAAGGACTGCAGGCGTGCACCACCACGCCTGGCTAATTTTGTGTTTTTAGTAGAGACAGGGTTTCACCATGTTGGTTAGGCTGGTCTTGAACTCCTGACCTCAAGTGATACACCTGCCTCGGCCTCCCAAAGTGCTAGGGTTACAAGTGTGAGCCACTGGGCCCGGCCGATTAATTTATTCTTAAAGGGCTAGTGCTATCATATTAAAAAGACTGAAAAAAAAATTGCCATGAGTCTTTAAAGTGGCAAATCAGAATGTTTCACTCAGAGTCATTGAATTAAATTTTTTTCTCTCCTCCAAGATCCAAGGATTATTCAAGAACATCACACAAATTTAAAAAGGTCATGTAGAGTTTCTCTTAAACTAAACTATCATGTGCAAAAAAACTATCCTAACGTGATATTTAGTCAATACTTTATATTTTTCAGATCATCATTAATATGTAAGATCTATGTTACCTTTGCTGAATTTAGAAATCTGCTTCGATTACTGTCTGCCCTTCTCCTTGTTTTTGATCATGGCAGCTATAATTCAAGACCGATTGTTTCACTCAAATGCGTTTATCTAATTAAATTAATCTTTGGTTATCCCTATTGCATGCAGAATTCTCGATGCCGACATAGTCACATGAATCCAAGGACAAGTTCTCCTGTCTTTGGGAATTACTGACCTGTGGAAAGAAAATTGGAACATTCTGTGCAATAAGCAAGGCAGCATGCTATTTTCTTCCGTGTTTGGGTACATTCAATACAATTTATTTGACTAAAAGTTAAACACATCATGATTTTTACAAATTGGCCCTGTTTATAACTGATCAATCAGGGAAACTGTTGCATAACTTATGGATCTACACTAAATTCCCTATATGGACTTGTGGCATAATTTTTCTAATTGAGGTCAATATAAATGACTTTTACTGTTTATGCTTTACACAGATTAATCAAAATGAATATTGCCAAGCTATTCATGTGCCCACAAACATCAATTAACCAATTTAATTTTACATTCCTTCCAGCTATTATTTTCATTCCACACTGCTGCCTCTTGACTTCTGGTACATAAAGGACAACATTCTTTAATAAACAGTGCTAACAGCTTGCATAGCTTTCCGAAGGCTACTCCACGCAATGCCCAACACAAAGTGGGCACTCAATAAATGTCGCTGACTGACATTAAAGAGACTATGAGGACAGAAGTGTAGGGTGGCCAAAGCAAGCCTAAAGGGCCATTTGACTAATTCTATGTTCTATCACATCGGACTGGATTTTGAAATGCAATGTGAATAAAACAATTTAGTCACTGTGCACTCCTACTTATTTTGAAGACAAATATGTGTGTACAGAATCCCCCCAAACTGATGAACTACTAAAGCAGGGGCTTCCCCACAGCTTTTTTGAAGAGAGGGTCAAGTGATTAAAATAAAAAAGCAAGATGGGGGCTTCATTATAATCTGGCTGTAATAGCTATTTTTTGAAGCCTAAGCCAGAGTATAATTTATAAACACTTGTAGTAAGTTTCCATCTGGCAACCAGCTGATCGAGATAATCTGAAAAGTACTCAGTTAAGGTGATTTTAAAATAAATGATGCATAGCATGAGAATAGATCAGTTAATGGGCAAAGTTTGGTGCCCACAGGAACAACAATCTTAGAAGAGGTGTGACTGTTCATGGTAGGCTGGAGAGAAAGCTGCCTGGCTAGGTTCTATATGTTGCACGCCATGGTTGTCCAGACCTATCTATCTATCAAAGAGGACTCACATGCCATGGTAGTTAGACACACTGCTTGAGCATCTAGACAAGAAAAATGGGAGTATTGTACTAATGATCATTTATAATCAACCTCCCCAAATAATGTCTTACTATTAAGCAAATTCAAAGTTCACAAAGATCCAGTGAACTATTCATGACTAAGGGTAGAAAATAAATATTCATTTATCCTTTCCTACTACTTATTTCTATTAGCATTTGGCCAGTGTTTTCCTTTGAAAGTTCACAGGCATTAAGCTACATATATTTATATGTTCAGTTTGTATACTCACCCTAGAGGTTCTAGAGAAATAACAACCCTTCATAAACTTTTTTGGGCTTCAACACATGGATTTAAATGTTTTGATACATTTGTCATTACCAAAAGATTTCTTCAACTGTAACACAGAGCTCAGTTCTGTGTAATCCTATACTCAAATATTTTAATCTATTGATTTCAAAATATTTTAAAATCCTACTTTCCCTACAAAATACACACATATGACATTTGAAATTAAGCAAGAGACATAGACATTGAAAATACACTTCCAGGCAGCAGCCAGGCATTCATCAGTCAATAACAAACCTAAGTTCAAACTAAATATCTGATGCTGGTTCAACTAGAGCATATATGAGTATTTATTTTAGAATTACCAATTAAACCTGATTTATTATGAGGATAACTGATTTTCTTGTACTGTGTTGAAACACAGAATCAACTAGGCTCTTCCAGTTGTGTTGCACCGACATCAGAGAGTTACTGTAAAATATGGTATTATGATTACTTTAAACAGCATGATGAGTGTGCATTTAGTCAAGAACAGTTGCACTACAATTATGGAATGATACATAGACTAAATTCATTTTATTTCAAAGACGGAAAACTTAGAGCTCCAAAAAGAACTTGAATTTCATTGTCCAACTTCATTCACTTGGGTTTTATTTCAGGATCTCTTTAGAGTAAATGTATCTATACACTTCAAGGTATAAAGAATTATTTATGATCCTTCATATATTATTCATACTGAAATAAATACCCTGAATATGTATCATTTGTTCTCTCTGGAAAATGGGAGAATTATTTTCAAGTTTTCAATCTTGCCCTACTTTTGTTTGGAAAACAAAATCACTTTATAAGCAATCAAAAACTCCAGAAATACAGTCATAAATATATTAGAAAGTCAATGCTGTTATTTCATTCTTCGAAAATTATGTTAATGTGGTCTTATGTCCTCTAAGCTCCATTGCTATTAGCTACATGCTGCTAGAAATAAATTCTAGATGGACACTATCAGCTGTCATTTTGAACTTTGGTGCTGTCATCTGTATAATGATAAGCTATAGTAAATACACTCATGCTGATGTTTATATGTGTTTAATCTTTACAGTCAGAAGTTTATAAATCACACTTAGGTCCACATAAAATTAATCTTCTCTACCAGAAGATAAGAAAGGAAGGAAGAAGGAAGAAGGAAAGAGGAAGAAGAAAGGAATATAAATATGATTTAAAATGCAGATATATCTCTAAAAATTAAGGGTTTTCTTCTTTAAGAGCAATTATTAAGTAATATTTTTAAGAAAAAATGTTTTCCTTTTCTACCAGTTCCTTAGTATTTAAACATGCTCAGTGCTTTCCTAAGCCAATGCCCTACTCAAACCTGCTCCTGGCCCAGTCTTCTCTGGCTCAGTGACCAGCAGCCCTATACACCTTGCTGCCCAAGCTGACAATCTTGAAGTGTTTGACATTACCTTTCCCATACATCCAGTCCTGCAGAGTCTACTTTTTTCCATCCCTTTGCCACTATTTTAGGTCAGTGATTTATTTCTTGACTGAATTACTGTAACTGTCTCCTAAAGAGTTTACTGGTTCTAGCTTTGCTCTGTTTCAATCCATTTGTCATGCGCCTTAGCCAAGGAGATCTTTCCAAAGCTCAGACCTATTCAAGGAACTCCCTATAATCTTCAAGATAAAAGCGAAAATCTAGGTCGGGCGCAGTGGCTCACACATGTAATCCCAGCACTTTGGGGGGCCAAGGTGGGTGGATCACCTGAGGTCAGGAGTTTGAGACCAGCCTGGCCAGCCTGTAATCTCAGCACTTTGAGAGGCCAAGGCGGGTGGATCACTTGAGGTCAGGAGTTTGAGACCAGCTTGGCCAGCATGGTGAAACCTCGTCTCTACTAAAAATACAAAAATTAGCTAGGCCTGGTGGCACGCACCTGTAATTCCAGCTACTCAAGAGGCTGAGGCAGGAGAATCCACTTGAACCCGGGAGGCGGAGGTTGCAGTAAGCCGAGATTGTACTGCTGCACTCCAGCCTGGGTGACAGAATGAAACTGTCTCAAAAAAAAAAAAAAAGCCAAAATCCTTAATAATGTGGTATGGACTCCTATCTGAGCTGATCTTTCTTTCCCCAGTTTTTGCTTTTTGTTTATTTGTTTGTTTTGAGACAGGGTCTGGCTCTGCCACCCAAGCTGGAGTGCAGTGGCGCTCATTGCAACCTCCACCTCCCCCGGCTCAAGCGATTCTACCACCTCAGCCTCCCAAGTAGCTGGGATTACAAGCATGCACCACCACACCTGGCTAATTTTTGTATTTTTGGTAGAGACAGGGTTTCGCCATGTTGCCCAGGATGGTCTCAAACTCCTGGACTCAAGCATTCCTCCCAAGTGCTGGGATTACAGGTGCGAACCACCATTCCTAGCGTATTCCAGTTTTCATAATCTCATCTTTGCATTCTCTCCCTTGAAATTTCCTCTGGACTTTTATTAATAACTATTCCCCTGGATCACCTCCCTCCCTCTCAGCATCTGCAAGACTCCTCTTGGAAGCCCTGCCTGGCCAACAAGATTAGGAGCCTGCTGTGGACACAGAGCCATCAGGATGATTGTTACCCTGTATTTTAATTGTCTTTTTATGAACAGACACTGTATTTTATTTGTCTGTTTGTCCCTAGTACTCCTGATAGTGCCCCTATATAGCAGGCACTCATAATTGATTACTGACTAAATGAGCAATAAAAAAAACTTCCTTCACATACTTAAAATATGAGTGGTTTATGCAAACATTTATTTCATTCTTCTCACAAATATTCATTCAGCACTATACGCAGGCCCAAACACAACATTTAAATAAAAAGAGACAAATGCATATTATTACTGATGTACTCACAGAAATGCTTTAATGAATCTCCGAGAATAGCAATCTGCAGTCATTTATCCAATTACCATTAAAAATGATTTTGTTTTGGTCACATTACTATTCTGTCAGTTCTTGTATAATTATATTTTCAGATGTTTGATTTTGGTCCAGGCACCAAATCTGTTGGTGGCCATCTGAACATGAGGAGGAATGAAAAGAACAAAAATGCCAATGGCCACAAAAGCATCAGTAGCCATGAACCACAAGATGGTTCATGAGGTAAGAGTAAGACTGTTGATCACATCATGGATATTTCAGGATATCCATCAGTGTCACTATAAACATATGGAGAGTAATCATTGCTAATGTCAGGGAAATATAATTATTGTTCTCTAGAGGTCCAGAAGGATTACTCTTATCATAAATGTCTACACACACACACACACACACACACAGAGAGACACACACAGCTCTATGGTTTGGCCATCATTTGCCTCTACGGTATTACATGTAGTGAAAAGCTCCTTTCATTCCACTCTTTCCACCTGTAGAGCTTCTCTGCATTCTTTCATTATTGGTTCCCCTTTTCCAGTGATGGATCCATCACTAGATCCCTGCCTGACCGTGATATCTAATCCTCCTTACAGCTGTCACCTCTGTGTGGCCATCACTTTACTTTAATTACCTTTAATCTATGACACTCACTTGCTGCTCCTCTCTCCACAGTTTTTCTTTATTTTTCATAGGTATCTTTACTTCTAACATGTCTTACCTTCAAAGCAAATGCTAACCTTTTAGAGACAACAGCCACCAATAATATGGCATCTTGTAAATGCAAAAACACCCCACAGTTATCAGCCTACAATAAATACTCACAGAAAGATGTGCATTTTCTACTTGTGTTCATGACCAACAACCCATTCAAATACCCAGGTGGAGCTCTCCATTCTTTGCCACTGTGAAACATCAGTAATTCAGATATATGCTAACTGTAGTAATTGTGCATCCTGAAGAAATGGACACCATAAAACTTTAGTCATGCCACTTCTAATGTCTAAAATTAGAATTTCCAATTTTTAAGTTTCTATGGTCATAAAATTGATCTGACTTCATATTTTGATAACTTAAACTACATGGCAAAGTTCTAATCTGATTTTGTCAAGTTTTACTAAATACAAAGGTCATATAATATTTAGTAGACCAAGAAGTATGTCATGACAGTTTAATTTTGTCCTAAATTCTTCCTAAAAAAAGAATTATCAATAAAAGAGACTATGGCTTTCATTAACCACTGACATTTTAAAATGTCAATTTTACTGAAATATGCCTTTTCTATTTTAATAACATTTGATTTTAGCTGACCTGGAGATCAAGTGTTAAAAAAACATCTCTGATAAGGTAGAAGGTAGTTTTTTTGTCCTTGCTCTGGAACAAGGAGAACATAGTTCAGTTTATTATTATTCCATACTAAGATAAGGGGGGATCAATTTTCCTATGGTATAAAGATGTCTTCCAGATCCTTGGCCTCATTGTTCAGCAGAGCACAAGAGGCATTCAGAGATCTCTATGCACTCCCCAACTTTTCGTATTTGTTGTGAGTAATACCTCAGTAGCCCTCCTTTTTCATTTTACTTTGAATTTTGTCCTTGGGTTCTCTCTGTGGTTGCAGTGAGAAAAAAAAAAAAAAAAAAAAAAAAGACAACTTTCAGGAAATTTTAGAGCTACTTCCATTGCAGTTTAATAAACTAACTCCAAACTAGCCAGTCATATGATACTTTGGGCCAGAACCTACCTCACCTCTCTTCTACTCTAACAAGAGATTCCTGTTGATGACATCCAAGACTTAGAAATCGGCCTTGATGCTATTTTGATCATTGGAGGTGCTAGTAGTATAGATGGTTTCAGCACTTGATAACTCTAGCTCTTCTGTCCTTCTTCCTGTAATCTTATTATTAGGGACCTTGCTGTAGTGTAAATCACATCATAATTCTTCAGAGACTCCCCCTGCTATTTTGTTTGTCTGTTCCTTGAAAGGTTAGAAATATTTTTGTGTAACTTGGTGATATATATTTTTCATCCCAGCTACTCTTCTTTATAGCATTATAAGGTCAGTTGGAGAAGCACAGATTCAAGTCATCTGGGGTCTTACCTCTTCCTTCCTTCTTAAACCTCACTTTTTCCATTGGACAAAAGGGAGTTATAATCATTTCTACCTCATGGTGTTGCTGAAAAGATTAAATAAGTCAGTGCATCTTAAGTACTTAGGACAGTGTCCAGTATATAGCATTGCACAGCAAGCTAACTATGATTATTTTTCCTCAACTCCATTATTTTTTTCTCTTTTTGAATCAGATGGGTCTAAGGTTTGTTTATTATCTGCCCTAAAATTTAAGTTAAAAATACTACAAATCAGACATTACGTGGTAGTATAGCATGGTTTAGCGAAAAGGCATGGGATTTGGAATCTGGCATCTGGGGTCTGTCACTTAAGGTATTTATTTGCCATGAAATTTGAGGGGAAAATCTTTTTCAAGCAAAATATTCAAGCATAATTTTCTTCCCCTAAAAAATGAGATTTAGAATATCTACCCCATTGTGAGAATTAAATAATATAATAAACAATTGTAAAAAGTCGAGTATAGAGTCTACATGCTCTCATTCTTCTCTGGATCAGTTTCTCATGCCTGGGACCCTTGATACATCTCACCTGCTGTCTCCATTCACCTTTAATTTCAGAATAAAAGGTCAAACTTTTTTCGACTTCCATCTAATGTTGACTCATAATGAAGTCATCTTCAGAAAACTAAGTGTTCCTGCTCTCCTATCTTACCATTTAGGAACAAGTCCTTATACTTTCAACTATATCTAGAAACAACCAATAATTACGTTGCCCTCAAAATATAACTCCATTTTTCTCTTGCTGGTGTCAGTGAAGAGAATTAACTCTTACTTCTGAATTTGGCCTGGATGACCAAAACTCTAGTGCATCCTTCCAGCTGGAGGGCTGCCATGAAGAGGTTTGTAAGTATAATAATAGTACAGCTCCGAAGGTAGAATCATCACAACATTTTTCTTTCCCAATACTGAAGCTTTGTCCCATAATCAATATCAGCAGGTAGTATCATGATGGCCAAGAACAAATGATCAGCCCCTTTTTCCTTGATTCCCAAGTATAGATGGCTGCTGGAATTCCCCATTGCTGTATCCCCCTGCTGGAGTGAGAACCCCAATGTTGACTATTTCCTACATTGTGGATGAAGCAACTATGTGATATCATGCCTGGATACCCTGTAGGACCCAGTATGATCTACTCTAGATCAGTTCTCTTCACCCCACCCACAGATCTAATGTCAGATCCCAAATGTTCCTGTCAGAGCCATCTATCTCATGGGCTCCGTCTGGCTGAGAAGCTACCATCATGCCACGGGGTCCAGTTCCAGGGTACAAAGTAGTTCTGTGGAATGATTCTATACCTTAAATTTCAGTACTTTTTAATCTAAAAAATTTCCTATCAATTTCACATACTTATTAAAAGGATCTATCCCTTAGTCAAATTTTATTCAAATGATCATTCCCTTAAGTACATTTGAAGTATGTACTATAGTAAAACTGCAATACTGTAACTTCAATATGTTGAAAACTCCAGGAGAAAAAAGTGAAGGGAGAGACATTATTAAAACATATAAAAACGGAAATGCATTTTGATAAATACATCTATATAGAATACAGATAAATATGTCCACATATATACATATGTGCATATACATCATATCATAACAATTCCAAGGATGAGTATTCTCAAATAATCTACTCCAAAATGAGCTAATTAGAAAAAATAAACCTCTAATCAAGTGGCATTACACCATATGGTCTGATACTTGTGACATCTCTGAATAGTTTTCTATTTTTTCTTTTATATGGTAAAAAATATTTTCCTAGTTGACTTTATGACTCTGTTCAGTCAAACTCTTGACCTATCCAGTCTACGGCATTAAATGATAATTCAGCTCAAAGAGGAAAGGGGAAAAAGAAGAAAAAAGCCTTTGAGCCCTTAATCCTTTTGTCTATACATTTCACTCTTATATCTTGCCCGGATGTGTTTTTATCCCTGAATCTTCTATGAAAATGCATGTGGTTTCACACAGAGAAAAACTGCTTCTTTAGGATATGTGGAATCACAAAGATCCTATTTAAATCTACTGTGCTTTAGTGTGCAGGAATGTTAGGGGGCTTTAAACTCAGTTACAATATACTGCTTGTTGCAACACAATTGTGCCTTTGGTGTTCTGTTTCACAGGTTTGTCTCCACTTAGGAGTGTATAAAGTACTTTGACATGCCACAATCACTTAGACCAGTTTTTAAAAGTCTAAATGAGCTTCACACTTCTACTTCTTGTTTTAATTTTGCATTCCAATGATGTGCAGGCTTTTTAGCAGCTTTCAAACAAGAGAAACCTACAGCCATCAGGGATCAAATGTTTTATAAGTCATTGGAACACTGATATGTCTAACAAGGAGTAGACCCTAAATTTCAGTAATGCAGCCTATTCCCAGACAATTCAGATGCCTGGGTCACTGGTGTGTACAGTTTTCTCATTGCAGGAGCATTGCATTCATCAAAGTCAAACTGAAAGAGAACAAGGAAAGTTACAGAGGCTATGCTTCAGGGCAGCTAAACATGCCACCAATAGGCACTGAGTGTGAACAAGGCTTGAGATGAAGGGGAAAGGAAAACAGTGCAAATAGGAGTTATGAGAGAGGATTGCCAGCCTGAAGTAGTAGACTTCATGCATCCCAGAGGAAAGTTTCAAGCTCTACAAAGACTAGGAAATTTGAATTGAAAACAGGAGGATTAGTAGTTAATAAAACTATTCATTAAAAACTGTTACAGTTTTTAAACATTTGTTTGACTTTAAGATGGAAACACAGTGCATTAACATTTAAATAGAAATGGTACAAGGGAAGACAAAAATATTTTTCCAGAAATTTTTTTGTCTCATCCTTCATAACATCTTTAATTTCCTTGTTAATTTATAAAAATGAAAATAGCACAAAGCTCTGGTTCTGTTTCATTCTCAAATAACTGTTTATGCATTGGTACAATCTATGTGTTGCCTAAGGAAACTTCTCTTCCTAGGTTTGATTCAGGAGATTAACTTGTGACAAATTTGAAGTTTAAGTTTAGGACACAAAAATAGTGTTGGATATTTAGAATCAGTAGAGTATCTATTATGTCTTAGGCAAAGATGATGTGATATAGAAACCTATGGTTATTAGGTGCAGAGCAAGCTTGTCAAATCCCATGACATCGGGGCATTACGCTGTTCCTGGCTGGATGCTGTTCTCATCCTGCACATTAAAACCTCAAAGTACATGGGCTTAGGGAAAATACCTAAAGTTCTCCCAGGTAAACACACTCAGTTGTCACTATACTGCTTAGGTATGTAAAGAACACGCATGTAACATTAATACAGGTACTATCATGGTCTTTGATCACAGTTTGCTCAACTTGCAGTATCATTATACATTTGACTAAAACTGAAAATTTAGTTTCAAAAGTGAACAGATATTATATATCTAAATATTTTACCAAGATAAATTGAAACAGACAGGTGAAATATTAAAGACAATATTAAAGACAAAGAAAACAGAAAAAAAAATTTTACTGAGTTTGGCCATGCTGTAGCAAAGTTAATGAAAATGAGAAATGGAGTGCCTTTTTAGGAGGGACCAAGGGAGAGATTCGTTAGGTGTAGGGTTCTATCTGTATGTGGAGAGCAACTGCTGCTTATGGAAATTATTAGACAATCAAGTGTGATAAATAAAAGACAAAGTTAGTTTTCATCCTACTGAACCCTAGTTCAAAGTGGAAATAGGTCTCAGTTATAAATTATTAACACTGAAACAGAAACAGCATATTATACAGATACCTGCACAGATTTATGGCATGTCTTAGTTGCAAAAAGAAGTGGAAGAAGAGACAGTTATCTAAGTAATTCAAACTAAATAAAGTTATAATTTCACAAAACAGAAGGGAGATAGAAAGTGGTCAATGAATGTCAGTTGTAATTGTTATTTTCAACATCATGTAGTTAATATCACCAACAAATTTTTAAAAATCTACTTCCACTCATTACCTCAAAAAAGGGTCTTTTAAGTTTATTTTACTCAAAGAGGAATCAAGAATAAAATAGTAAAATAAGAAATGCATTACATCAATGCCAATATCATATATCTCAAAAGTACAATGTTCAGTATCATGCAGACATATGGTTAATAAAGACCAACTTCAGATATTTGAAAAATGGTACTATGAACAAAATAGTTTTCTGGTATTTTGGTTATATCATTTAATGTACTATATAGCAGCTCCTTGCATGTGCTATTTACTCAAATAATAATTTATGTAAAACTTGCAGTCATACGTTTAAAACAAACAAACAAAAATTCTGTTTTGCACTTGTAATTCCATTTTATCTTTAGAATAAACACCTAAAAATGGCAATTTCATAACATAATCTTTTTTTCTAAATACATCTGGGAGTTCAATAGCCAGCAAAAGTCATTCCAAGTTATACAAAGCAATTGTGTCTCAACTTTTTCCCTCTATGATGACTTAAACACAATGGGTTAATTTTTACAGAATTCTATAGTTGAAAACAATTTGCTAATACAATTTTTGATAGTTAAACACAAGCTAGATTGCTGATTGCCTTTGTACTAGTTATAATTTCCATATTTCTTCTAGATTTGTTCACTGGAATTCTACTATAAAAAAATCTGTCCCTTCTCCTCCACTTATTTACTTGTTTATTCAATTATTTATTTCTATTAGTAAAGACCCCGGGCTATTTCTTTTATTCTATGAGTTATTATTTGTTTTTATTAGTTATTTTGTTGCTCAGATTTCTGTGTATTCAGTCATTGGGAGCTGCTTCAGGTTGATATGCCCCATCATTTTCCGAGCCTGTTCTTACTCAAATCAGCCATTTTCCCAAGAAGTTATATTTTCTTCTGTTGGAAAATTATGTTTGGAAACCAAGATGCAGGCTAGGTTTGCTCATTGCTACTGAAGTATCCTTGCTTCTAGGCCCTCTAAGTGAAGGGAGGTAGGAAATACATGTCTGTATACACACAACGTACAACTCTACGTATTTGTTTTTATATCTATCTGTGTATATATTAAAAACAACGAGTTCCGGTGGCTCACGCCTGTAATCCCAGCACTTTGGGAAGCCGAGGTGGACGAATCACAAGGTCAGGAGTTCCAGACCAGCCTGGCCAATACGGTGAAACCCCATCTCTACTAAAAATACAAAAAATTAGCTGGGCGTAGTGGCAGGTGCCTGTAATCCCAGCTACTCGGGAGGCTAAGGCAGGAGAATCGCTTTAACCCAGGAGCCAGAGGTTGCAGTGAGCCGAGATCGCGCCACTGCACTCCAGCCCTGGTGACAGAGTGAGACTTCGTCTCATAAAAAAAATAAATAAATAACAACGAGTTCATATGATATTTTCATGGACATTTTTAATCATTTTACTAAGCATATTTCCTTTTGTCCTCTCACATAAAAAGGGGGACTATGGTGATATAATAAGTAATATTACTATGCACATAAGTGCTTTCAAAAGCATCATTTCATTTTAATCCTTAGAATTACTCTGTTTCGTATACGTGTGCATTTAAAAATAATTATCATTATTAACTCAGTTTACAGATGAGACAACTGAGGCCAGGGATCAGACATCCAGAATTTGGTAGAGCTAAGATTTGAATTAAGGACTCCAAACTCTAAACTTCATTCTCTTCCTACTATACCCAAAGAGAAAGATCACATTTTTATTTATTGGCTTTTTACATATAAAGTCTCTGCAATTAATGAAAATAAACATCATCCTGCCACCACTTCAAACTTACCACATATAAAGCAATGTGTTTTTACTTTCCTTCTGACTTGCACATGAAATTTGTATTTCTGTTGATGACAAGCATTTTTTAATATCATTGAAATATATAACTTTAAAGTTATTTTTATTCACTCTTCTCTTTTTTCTTTATTCCTAGTTGAGTGCTGATAACCATCCTGTTTTCCTCCCTGCTGCTCTTCTGGTATGACCATTCCAATCCAAGCCCTGTTCATCTCTCTTGGATTACCATAACAGTCTTCTGGGTGACCTTGACACTTCACTTCCCCCTCATAGTCTTTCTTCATCACAGGAACCTTCCATACCTGCTTATTTTTTGCTTCACTGAGTTCAGCTACTTCTTTGCTCTGTAAGTGCTCCAACTTTATTTCCAACCCCTTCCTTCCACTTTGATCATGCCAAGCTGTTCACCAGCTTCTATGTTCAACCTCTGAGGTACCCTCTCCACCTAAGCCAACCCTACCACCTACCTATCCTCAAGTCCACAATCTCTCTTAAAAGCAACCAGCTATTTCATATTACATGCCTGTATAAAAACATCTCATGTACCCTGTAAATATACACATCTACTATGTATTAAAAAAAAAAACAAAAAAAGAAAGAAAATTTAAAAGTTATGATACCTAATCTAGCTCTGTACTCTAATTTTTCCATTGCCATTGACCTTAAATATCTATCTAAAAGGGAAGTTACTTGAGAGAAAATATTTTTTTACTCAGTAAATAATCTTTATCTCTCAATTTAAAATTTGGCTCATAGCAGTTATTCAACAAATAATTCTTCCATCCAAGGGACTGCAATACCCTGAATTATATATATTATATACATCTGAACCGACTTTGGAAATAGGGAGGATGCTTGATGGAAAAGTGAAGCATGGCAAATGTTTTTCTAAGACATGAAAGAAGATAAATAAAACAAGCATAATTTAAAAGAGCTTCTGTTTGATTGTAAGTGAAAATGTGATTAAAACTAAGAAGCATCATTCTCTGAATTTCTTGATCAAAAATAAAGTTTTACAAACTTTTAAAGATCATTGGAGTGACTAAATTGTTTCAGATGCTCTTATACAACTTACTAAAGAATACATAACCCAGAAGGCCCTCATGTGAAGGCCAATTACAGTGATTAATGGGAATTAGTCTTAATCATCAAGTTTCCTTCAATGGCAAAATATTTGTCATATTAGCATATTACAAAGTCTTATTTTATATTTTGGTTCTCTTTTCTAGTATGAAAGCTGAAAGTTCTAAAATATTGTCCCTTGTGTTGAAAGACTGAGTATGAGTGCTTGATGTTATATACAAGGGCCCTTATATTCGATAATGTGTTTGTAGTCAGAGAATTGGCATCTGCTACTGGGTCCTTTGTTGTCTCCCTTCTCCCCAGTAATGGAAACGTGTGATTTCACAGATGGCTTTTCTCTCTCCCACCCACACCCAGGCTTTGATTCCTGTCCCTCGGAGCCCACAGTGAAGCCCCATGTTTTGTAGGTGACCACCCTGAACGAAAGCTCATTTCCTAAGTAACCTCTGTCCTCAAAGAAGTTACTGTTTCCAGGTAACCTGTTCCACTTACATTTTATTGGTTTCAGTCATTTTAGGATGTGACATGGTTTAATTAAGCATTCTGGCCCAGTTTGAGGCAGGAGCCATAAATAAGGAAGTTTGTACTACTACCTGTAGAAGAACTCAGGAGATTTATTTTCACTAAGCTGTACAATTGAAAGGTTTGTGAATTGCTGAGGTTTAAGCGTTTACTGTGGACTTTTGTTTATTACAGCACCCTGCAATTTAAAGGCAGCTATCATTACTGCCATCAGATCTTTGTAAAATGATTAATTAAACAATGATGATATTTCTCTGTGAATTTCTAACTCCTGGTATTATCAGTGTACAGAGTACCTAAAAGAAAAGTGAGAATAAACTTCAGGAGAAATCAACTGTGGTTCTCAGGGAACCACAATAAATTTCTTCCTTCAAAATGGCTCAAATCAGTATCTGAAATACAAAACAACCATAGAGCTTTATATGATTACTTCATTTTGTATATACCCAGTCTTAATAACTTCCATAAAATTTCATGCACCACAACAGGAACTATTTCCTTCCATTATTTCATCTCCCAGGTAACACCTATTAAAGAAAACTTGCGTCATATAAACAAAAATAGACAATCTCAATTCTAACATAGTGGCACAACTAACATTTCATTCTTATTATCTGTGAAAAGTTCCTATCACCCAAGGAGGTCTATGAGCTCCTTGGGTAAAGGTACTCTGTCTACGACATAGTGTCAGCTCAAAAAAAATTTATCTTAAATGAAGAAAAACCTGGAAATTCTACCAACTGTCTTAATCATTTATAATAATAAAGGGAAGCAAAGAAACAATTAAAATGACACAGAAGCATAAAGACAGGAAGAATTCTAACAGATCTCAGATCCTTATCATTTTATAGATGCAAAAACTGAGGTCATTTGTTTACCCAAGGTTGTAGTGAGTAGACAGAATTAAGCAGAGGTCTCCTGAATTTGTTTTTATGGAGCTTTAGAAGTATCTGGTAATTTTGTATAAATATACTTTATTAACTTAGTAAACAGCTTTCTGGTATGTTGCCTGTTTTTTATAATCTTAGATTTCACATCCACCTCTTATCCTGCTGAATGTCTTGAAAGGGTTATCGGCTAAACTTTGTTTCAAACGCAAAAATCATATTTGATCTTTATAATAATAAAAGTAAAGTAGATTATTAGAATTCATGTTTGTGAGGTTAACATTATTTATTTATGAAAAAATAACATAGAGATTAAGTTTTTTCGCTAAAAAATAGACTTTTGGAAAAACCATCATTAATTACATTCAAATACACAAAGAGAGGTCATTTTCAGTCTTAATTGAAGGCTTTTTTTACAGACAAACTATAAACAAGTGAGTTAAAATTGGTAATTAATAAGTCTCTATGCAAAAATATATAAAAAGCCAAGAAATATAGGTTAATGTGAAATAACACCATTAGTCTTAACCAAATAAATTGATTAGATTAAGATACATGTTTATAATGATTGTCATATCTCTGATTTTTTTTTAAAAGAGATGGGGATCTCTCTATGCTGCCTGGCCTGGTCTTCAACTCCTGGCTTCAAGCTCTCCTCACGTCTCAGCCTCCCAAAGTGCTGGGATTACAGACATGAGCCACCACACCCAGCCCACATATTCTCTTCCTTAATACTACTTACATTGTTTTCTGTTGAGGTGTTCCCCTATGATAAGCAACATAATAATGATATACAATGAAATAATTTCTCTAGAAAAAGGCTAAGTTGGATATAAATGAAACTCTAATGAGAGAAAAAAGAGTTTTCCCTGGCAAAGTTGCTAATGAAGTAAAGGAACATGGAAGAAGGAATTCCAACTGTACATGCTAAAAAGTACATTTCAGAATCCTGTACAACTGAGTAAGGAATCCCTTTCTGACTGCTCTGGAAACTGTGGTGAACCAGAAAGACAGTGAGAGAGCAGTTTCATGAAAAAAACAAAAACAGAAACAGAACAACTGACCAACCAACCAAACAAAAGATCCTGGCACTGTGAGAAGTTGAAGAGTTAGGAGTATTGAAAGAGAATATCTGAAGAATTAGGGGAGATAACTCATCTATGAATTACTTATTCCTTCTTTCTTACTAAATTAATGTCATATTACATAATTTTGAAAAGATCTATCAAAGTCAAGTACAAAACACAAAAGGTAGTTGTTGACTTGTGTTAGGAGTCCTAGAAGTGCTGACCTCTCCAAAGGTTTGAGGCCTCCAAGGCTGCTAAGCTACCAATTAAATCCCTAGGACACTAACTTGAGTTCTTTCAAAACAGCATAACGTGTTTAAGACATAATTTTAAATTCACAATGTAGTGGTCTTCCTTTAAAAACTTAGCTTGGATAACTTCTCCACCTGTTTGAGCTTAGTTACATAAAAGTCATTTACACACAACCTTATTTCCTGAAGATTATTCCATTAGGGCAAAGTTAGTCAAACTGCAGATCATGAAGTCTTGCAACTTATCTCTTAAACACTTGTTTCCTCCTTTCTGTGCTCAGAATTAATTGGTTATTACATAAACCAATTAGTCTTATTAAACTTTCAGAAAGTTGCCAGGGTGTCTCCTATCTACACATGAAAAAATTAGAGTCATACTGATTATTAGAAGTAAATCTACGATCGCTTGAAATTTCAAGATGGAGTAGAGTAGGGGTTGGTGGGGGAATGGAAATGTTTATTCTAGTCATTTCCAACCCTGGTTGGAATCACCAAGGGAGCTTTAAAAATATATGGATTATGGTCTCTTTTCCCTTCCAGTCTACCCCAGGATTCTGACTTATTATGAATGGGATAGAACCAGATGATTCTGTTGAGACTTTCCACAATAAACATTTAAAATCACAGCTCACCTTTGGAGCAAAAGGGTCACACTCAAATAGCTGATGACTTCACTAGCAATTTATGCAGAAATCCAGAATTTGAGAAAAGTCTTCTTTACACTTTATTTTAGTATATAATGTCTCTGTGACTGAGACTATTGTAAAGAAGAAATTATTTTGAGAAATACAAATAAAAAAGAGTGGCATAATGGAAAAATATAAACACAAGTAGATCATTAAATATGGCATGAGTAGAAGTCTTAACTTGCTTGTACTTTCACTGACTCTTAAATCTTTCTATAAAATATTTTCTGTATTCATGATGATGTCAAAATATAGTGTAAATATCATTATTTTTAATCAATTGGTGAATAAGGGGACTAATAAAATTAAGTTTGATAATAAAGGTAACGAAAGAATTAATTCTGATTTTTTAAAGATTAAAACATTTATATAAACACAGATTAATGTAATAAAATAGGAAAAAAATTACATTGAGTGTGTATAAGATTTTAGATTCCAAAAATAAGTCAATCCCTCATAGTAGCTTTTTTCAATTAAAATTTTCTTTTTCTTTCAACTGTCTTCTTAAAACTTACCTCAAGCCATACAATTGGGACTATTTTTGCCACAATTGCACAAATTTGACAGCTGTAAACCTAAGCTATTAGTCACCCATGCAATGGTCAAAAGAAGTTCTTTATAATTAATAAATATATAAATTTATTTATAATAAAAACTCAGCTTTATGGTGCTGGTGAAGAGTGTCATTAATAATGCAAGTCATTTATTTAAAGATAATGATTCTAGCCAAGAAAGGATTTGTGAACTGAGCTAAGAAGAGAAATCAGAGGAGTGATAAAGAAAAAGATAATGGGTTTTAAATAATAATAATGATTCTATGGAAACTACCACATTTAAATAGATATGGCTGAACATTTTTATTTAGACTCAAAATGGGAAGAGCAAACCAATAAAACTTTTGAATTTTCACATATAAGTAGACACTAAGACATAAGAAGAGCATCTGTCCAGATAAAACTCAAGACAGCACCAATCAACTTTATGTTAATGTGGTTTCTGGAAATACTGACATACTGATGAAGGGGTTCTGGGAAGTTAACATAAAGACAATTCCATGCAGGTTTTAAAAACTGTTGACTCAGATTTCCCATGTTTGTAGAGTTCTAGAATGTAACACATTATACAGTGCCATGTTATTCTGGCTGTGACTTGTATTTTTAATCACAGTGTATTTGGTTTGGTGTCCAGACATCTTTGTGCATACATGGTTCTTGACTAAGTGTTGCAACTTCCGTAGTTGGACTTCCCTTCAGAAACAGGCTGCTGAGTGCCCAAGCAGAAGGCTCAAAAATGAGAGGGATGACTAGGCTGTCCAATCTCCTCCTACACTGCAGTCTTTACCCACAGACCACCAGGGAAAGCATGCTCAGTTTTACACTATGTTTCACTTTCAACTCATTCTTATAACACAACTTTCAACTCATTCTTATAACACACTTTCAACTCATTCTTATAACACAATTCACTTTCAACTCATTCTTATAACACAATTCCAAAGTTATAGAATACATTCCACTCTCAACTTGCAAATAAAACACTTTAAATTAAGAAAAAATACTAATATAACTTCTAAAAATCTTCATTGCTCCATGTCCCGTTACAACTTGATGAGAACTTTATTATATATACTCAATAAGTATTATCATTGCTATCAATTAAATAAGCAAATGAACAAGAAGAATGTGGTGGGGGGGGAGATTTCCCCAAAGCCTATCCTAGAAATAAGTCTTGTTCTCACCAAGATAATAACTGTGTACATTTTTAAAAGCAAATAACTAATCAGAACCTTTTACTGTGAAATTAAATGAAAACAACTCAAAAGGAGGCTTTTTTTTAATTTTCTACTTAATCCCATGCAAAATCACCTATCAGTTTAATAAAAGTAGATTTGCAAATACATCTTGAAGTCCTAATAAAATTGTGACAAAAAATGATTATATATCATAGTCTATAATTGCCAGTAATTGACCTCAATTTGAAGAGCAAATGTTGACTTCTAATAGTTGATTTTCCAAGAAATCTCATGAAATATTTTGGTGCAATTTTGATAGAATCCCAACACGAATTTACATAATTTCCCCCTCAAATTCATCATTTAATTTACTATCACAGTATTTAAATTTCTTTCAGCTGTAGGAAGGTAATTTAGAAGTGAAGAAATTGAAGCATTGGTGGAATAAGTGATTTCCTTATAATCTACACCCAGTGTAGGTACAAGACCAAGAAATAATATTACTTTTTTTCTCCAATGAACTTTAGAGCCAGACAGACCTGGATTCAAATCCCAACTCTGCCACATGCTACTTGTGTGTGATTAAGCAATTTCCTTGTTTGTGAAATCCAGAGAATAATACCTAATATATAGGATTGTTATCATGGTTAACAGCACGATGTGTGTAAAGTGTCAGATACATGACCACATGGGTACTTAATAAATGATCACAAATATTTTTTCAGAAAATGTGAACTCTGGCATTTTAATAGTATAAATTAAAATAATAAAAAGAATGTTTTAAGCATCAGGATGTTAAGAACTAGTCATACATTTGCCTTTTAAGTCATATGATTCCAGTGAGTATTGTAGACATTATGATTGATTGGACAATAGTTTGTCTGTGCTGAGAAATGGTGAACATATTGATTTATTTGAAAATTTATGGTGATCCTGAATTTAAGTGATAAATATTATTTAAATATATACTTTATGTTCTTACTTATAAGTGTGAACTAAATGATGAGAACACATGGACACATTGAGGGGAACAACACACTGGGGCTTATTGGAGGATGCAGGTTGGGAGGAGGGACAGGATCAGGAAAAATCACCAATTGGTACCAGGCTTAACACCTGGGTGATGAAATAATCTGCACAGCAAACCCCCATGATACACATTTACCTGTGTAACAAACCTGCACATCCTGAACATGTACCCCTGAACTTATAATAAAGTTTTAAAATAAATAAAATAAATATATGTTTTACTTTCAAGAATAAATTTGTTTACTCATTCTCTAAAAATTATGTATTTTTCAAATTTTAAAAAACGTACAGTTGGGAAATAGTATCTAGTTGTGGAAAGAATATTCAACTTCAAATCACTTTTTAGAACTAAGTCTCGCAAATTTGTGAAAACGCTGATAAATCACTTAACCATTTTTTGTTGGCATCCTCCTCAATTCTAAAATTCTCAGATTCCAACATAAAAACTGGCAAAATCTGGACATACAAAGAAATTACTTGCTAATATAAGCTAATAATTAGAATAGAGATATTCTGATTTTTGTAAAATTCCAGATTAATGAACTCTTCAGCAAACATACTAAATTAGTTTAACTCATCTTAATCTTTGCCTATTTGTTTAAAGCTTAGTTTTATTTTAGCTCTACATAGTATGACACATACAATAGATATTCGGTACTATACCATATTTAAATATTAGCTAACCAGAGTATAGCCCAAAGAAATCTGAACATATTATAGTAAGATAAGTTCTGCTTATAATGAGGTTGAAAGTAGATCTCTTAGTATATATTGTTTTAATACAACACCACTGGCAACTTGGTAGAGGGGTTATAGTCAAGTATGCAACATGTTTCAAGTTTACAAATAATTAAAATTAATTTTAAATGTTTTAAGGAGTACAAAATAATAATACAAATATTCTTTTAATTAACAGTAAGTTTACAAAAGAATATTAAAATAAAGATTAAATGTGACTGCTTAATTGATTTTAATGTGCAATATCTTTACCTTGGTAAAAATCCTTCAAAATCAGCTTATTTATTTTCTTTCAAGCCCCATAATTGGCTTTTATCTGCATTGGGGTGGATCTCATCTGAATTTTTCAAATAAACAGTTTCATTAGTAAGAGGCACTACAAATGGATATGAAAATGATATACTCAATCATCTCTACAACTGATGCTTTCCCTTATGATGATAAAGTGGCATCAGCAAATAAACGATGATAATTTTAAAATTACTTTCTGCAGATGGTATTCCAGAATGCCACTAATAGGCTACCATTTTTTTTTCATTTCTTCATGAACTATCATGAAGGTATGTACACCTTAAGGTATGATGTACACCTTAAGGTATGATGATGAGGTAAATTTCTTTTTTTCAAAAGAAAATTGAAAACTGGTTCAGTGCTTATGTGTGTGTGGTGGGGTTGGGGGAGGGACTGTCTATCTAGAAAATAAATATAATATAGCTAAAAAGCACACCCACTCTTTTAGCAAGTTTGTTGTGCTGTGTAAATATCTGCAGTAGAAAAGGGAGGAGGAGCAATAGGTGCACATGAAAAAAGAGGAACAAGGACAAATACTAGCTATGCCTTTATTTTCCTAATTTACTCTGGTTCTAGCTTAGATATAATATCTACATGTGAAGACCAGATGATCCTGTCATATGACCACATTACTAACCAATAATCTTGCCTATGGTTCTGGATTCAAGCTAAAGCAATGAAGCATCCAAGCAACTGAGATTCTCAACAACAACTGGCACCTTTTATTTTAACAGTACAGTTTTTCAGTTTTTCTGTTTTTATCAAGGTTTGGAAAGGGAAAAACATTCAACTAGATACAGAAACAAACCAGAGTGAGAACAAGTGATTTTCCAGGTGTATGCATGGTACTCTAGCTAAGCAAAGTTGCTAGGTCACAGCTGAATGCTGACAAGGGCCGCTAGCCAAGAAATCATATACTGTGTTTTGGAGAACAAAAGATAAAAAAGATATAATCACAGAAAATTCTTTATACAATAATGTTCCATTTAGAGCATTAGAAACAGAACTGCAGTCGCTGTCAAGAAGGAAGTCGACCTCCACAAAATGGCTAATAATACTTTTGATACTAAAAAAAAGAATTAATGCAATCTTGAAACAACACGGCCTTTTAAAGGTCAGACAAGCAGTATGAAAGTTTTCCCCAGAAGGGAAATCATTATATACTGCTAATTTTATTTCTGTAGCCTAGTAACAGTCATTTGATCTAGTTGGTGGTGAGATAAGTAGTAAACTGAAATGCAATGAATCCCTATGCAGTAAGATCTCAACTCAATGTTGGTTCTCAAGTGTCTTTCCAAAAGTGAGGCAAAGACAACATCCCCCAAATTGAAAGGTAAACATATCTATTATGGAAGAAAAAAAGAGTCCATTGAGCATATGGATTATTAAGTATATGGATCCCCATTGCATCCCTAATCCCAGAGCTATGTTTAACAACAGCTTGTGTACAAACCACTATTTTAATGCTCTGCTAATGTAATAAGCCATTTATCATCTTCTGAAATTATTCAGTGACCTACTTTGTTAATTAAAACATTTACAGAGGTCTTTCTTTATAGATCTAGATCACTGACTAAATGAGTATTTCAGTTCCATCAAGTTGTAAGATTATTTCTATTATAAAGGAAAACAATATTTTAAGAGAAAGAAACAATAGTTCAATGTAAAAGGAATCAACATTTCATCCCTTGTTTAACCTTGGTTGTTTTGATTTCATTGCCATATTCAGAAAAGAAAATTAAAGGATTAATGATAGAAAACAAAAAAATTAATTAAAATTTTAAAAATGCAGAGACACAGCTCACTGCACCAATATTCTTAGTGCAGCTTCACTAAGAAGTGAAAACCGGGTGTAAACCTCCAGGAGGGAAAAAGAGAGCACATAAAATCTTTAGTTTATTCTTAACTAGAGGTCTACATCAAATATACAGTCAGTGAGAAGACACACTGCTAAAGATAGAGTAATAGAGATGAGGAACAAGAAGAAGAAAATACTTTAACCCTCCAACCGTAAATCAACCCCTTCCTTCTTCTGTGCCCAGTACTAAGAGTAGCCTGAAGAGATAAAGCACCTAGCTTTGAGATTAAATAAAGATAATTGAGACAAAAAAAAAGAAAAATGAAGTGGAGGCATTTTTGCCTTGCTTGGTCAAAGCAAAGGAAATTCACCCTGCTCAAGCATCTCCTCCCAATGCAGCAAATGTAGGCATGAGCTCTAGGCTGCAAACTGAGCTTAGAAATGGTGCAGGGGAATGATGGAAGGAAGGGAGGATGAAGTTGCCAGTTCTGAGGCTGATGGTGCTACACAGAGCTGCAGAGAAAGAGGGTTAAAAGGATGCTCCTCATACCTTTCTTTTTCGTTCCATACGTTCTCTGGGGATTTTCCGTTGTTTTTTTCTGTCTCTCTCAAGATTTTTTTCCTTTTCATCCAGATCAGCCTCTCGAACTTTTTTAATAGAAGCAGCAGCGTGAGCCATTTTGCAGAGGAAATCAGCAGAAGCAGTAGCAGAGGATCAGTTTCCACTCCCCAGCAATCCAGGTGATTTCAGAGCTCTATGGAGATGTGATTTTCCCCACCAGGGCAATGGCTGGCAGCCAGAACACTCACAAGATAATCCACTCCGCCCCCGAGCTAGGTCATAATCTTGCTCCAGCCTCTGCAGCACCCACAACTCACTACAATGAACTAAGGTCCCAAACCGAGACCTCCAGCAGCACACACCTGCACGCACACAGGCATAGGTGTGCACCCACACTCAGAAATGGTCCCGGGGGAAGGCGGAGCACTAGACTTCCAGCTCTTCAGCAGTTGGGTGGCTGCAAGTGCAGAGAAGCATCCTACTAGTTGAAAAAGCCATCCTTAGACACACATCACCAATTGGAACAGTCTTTGGGGACTCCTCCAGACAGACTGTGTCTTCTGACTGGAGCCAGGAAGAGGCCACCTCTGTGAAACTGCTAGGGGGTGGGTAGTTTATTGCTGCTTCCAACCACACCTCTATGCAGGGTGAGAAGAAAATGGTGCAGTCTCGCTAAAGGACTCTGCTGCTGCTGCTGCTGCTGCTGCCGTGCTACTGCTGTTACTGCCGTTGCTACGGCTGCTCTGCTGTAGCACATGACATGAATTCCTGCCTTTTTCATCTCACAGCCCTTTCCTTCTCCAAGGTTCATTTAAAGTAAAGAATCGACGTTGCTGTTTTGGGAGAAGAGGAGCACAGTTGGAGTTACTTGCCACTGCCGTGGCAATACAGGGGTGAGCAGGTCTGGGAAGGGCTAGAAGTAGCCGGGTCCTCACTGTACCATTTACAGATCCACGTGAGGCTGAATTAGGGAGCTGCATTAAGCATAGAAAAGAGCTGTCAGTGAACAAACAATATAATCTGGGCTCAGCGAGGTTTTCCTGGGAGAAAGAGCGGGGAGCTCAAAAGAGGGAGAGGAAGGCAGGGATAGAGAATGGGAAAGAGGAAAGCAGGCACCACCCAAGCCACTCTTTATCACTCAAAGAGGGCACATAGGTACTCATTATTAATTATCAAAGGCTTTTGTTAAATGCAAATTTACTTGAAAAGCAATGTGATGAAGTAAAGCAGGATTAGTATTTCTGAATGTTGCTGTATATACACCCAATAGGGAGGCTCAATGAAAGAGGAAAGAGGATACAAGCTGTTAACTCAAGAAGATGAAGTTCTCTATAGTATTCCAATTACCTATACTGCCATAGTTTTATCGAGGTCTAATAGGATGCCAAGGATGGCACTCACTTCTTAGTTATTCATTCTTAGCTGGAGACAGAATCATACCACTATATTGTATATAGAGGACTATGGACGTTCCTTCCCAATACACACAACTGTTGCATTTTAGGAGAAGGGTTTTCACTATTATAATCATTGATAGTAAAACAATATAATCTGAGTCTACATATATGCTATTGTTAGGAAAAGAGTAAAATAACATTAAAAATGCTCTCCTAGAAAATGATATGTTTTTGTATCCTAACCCTTATGACATATCTGCTTCCATAAATGAAGAACGTAAAGTCTCATTTCTTGCACTACATAAAGATAGTAAGAGAGCAACTCTTCTAGGAGGGAAAATACTAATGTGGATGGTACATGTTATAGTTTATATAACATAATTTATCATTTTTCCTTTTACCTAAACTGAGTTGAAAGCACTAAGATTAATAAAATATCCCATAAGCAAGCAAAATGCATTCCACAGTAGTACAGAGAACCTAGCACTTAATCTGATTCGAAAGTCAAAGAAAACAGTAATCACCATGGCATGGATCAGTGTTGTATTGTTGATATGATGGTCAGTCAACTTACAGAGGGTAGAGGAAGGGAGAGAAGGGAGCAGTTTTTATCATATATGGGGAGCATTAGCTTTCTCTGATCTGAACAGCTGAAAATTCATGTTCCAAAAAAACAAAAATAAAAACAAATCAGCTTCATTAGTATCTAAGCCCTTCAAACTCCCTTGTCTGAAAAACCTTTTACATATTTACAGAGAAATACACATAGTCATTCAGGCTTTCTGCAAAGATAATGTGTGGATGTGGGGAGGATTCTTCTATCTCCTTGGCCAGGGGAGTCACCGTCTACCACTTGACATAGCATACCTCAAACATTTTGTCCTCTGAAGTACTCTGGAGAATCAGCTGTTGTGGTGTCAAAGCAGTCATTAGGAAAGAAGGTGGTTCAGGGAAAGCAGCAAGACTAGAGCACAGGGTGTTCTGAATGCCATCTGGCATTTTCTTTCCTTCTACTTTTAAAAAAATGTTCGCAACAAGCAAGTCTTACTTGATTGGTGGATGTCCATTTAGCTTAATAGCATGAGTCCCAAGGAAATGTGGCTAAGCCTCCTGCAATGGTTTTCCTGTTGTGAGGGTGACTCCAGCTTCTTCTGGCACAAGACCTTTCCACTGCCCCTTTAGAATCTGCTGATACACTATCAAAATATCCTCTCCTCTTCTAGAAACCTCATTAAGAAAGTGAAAAATCATCAGCACAGATAGAGAAGAAAGTGAGGAGTTCCTGTTGTCAAAAAAAACCTTTTATTTCATTGGCTTTTAATGAGCTCAATATAGACTCTCTTGTAAAATCAAACAGTTATTAATTTCATTATGTTGTTTTCTAATGCCAGGAAAATTATACATTTTTACACATTTTTTAAACTTCAACTTAATAAGTAAAAAAAAATTTAGGGATGGTTAACAGAGTCTTAGTCTCTAAGACTCTTTTACTTTCTATAAACAAGTATGACAGCTCTTTTTATCTTTGTCTCATAAAGAAAAGGTAATGAACCAGGTGATAGTTTGTTAGATGTTAGATTGACCGACATACGCATTGCACAAAGCACTGTGATTGCCACATCTTTAAGAATCATAATTACACTACTTTGCTTACATTTTCTCATAATATCTTTAAGTGTGACAGAGAAGCAGAGTCACCATGTTTTTATAGATGAGGACACTAGAAGCCAAATAATTTTTTCCAGGTATCTTTCCTTGGGATGGCTCTCAAGGGCAGGAGGGCCAAGGTTCAGGGCTCTTAAATCAACTCACCTCGGAAAAGGAACCCACTCAAAAAGCCCTCATTGAGGGCTCTTACTATTCAAATCACAAAACAGGAAATCCCAGACAATTAGTATAAATATTTGTAAACAAAATAAACTCATCACAAGTCCATTCGTAGTGTGTGATTTTTATTTCTCTTTTCCTTAATTAAGGAACAGATTGCTCCCATAGGAGATAGTAGCACATAATCCTTTTAAGAAAGCTAGGCAGATTAGACATTCCTACACAGAGTGGTAACTTTGCCTCTTTATAACTAGCTTATTCAGTAGTAAGCTGATGAGAAATTGATGTTTTTAAAATCTTTCCTTCTTGTATACTTGTGTTGCTCAAACTTAACTATGATTTCTATTTGAATGGAAAATAATTGGTATCAGTTCTCTGAGGAAAGAGAGTAGCTCATACTCACCAGCTGACCTCTGCACAGACAAGGCACCAGGTTCCAATTCCAGGAGCTCACAGCCATTGAAATGATGCATGCACCACATTAAAAGGCTCTTCCCATCAAACCTCCAGCAGAGATATAATTCTGGCTGAATTTTGAGCTCGTAACAAAAGCTGATTCCTTCCACAAAGCATCATGACCATCAATGGGATAAACTTGTGTCTGCCTTCAAAGGTAAGGAGCACACTGTCCGTTCACATTTAAACTTGAGAGCCAGCATAGACTGTCCTTCAGAGAGGGCATATTTTATTTTAAAGACAGGAGATAAAATGGCCATTTGCTGTCCTCACTGTCCAGCACTCCATTGATCAAATTCCAAAGAAAATCCTCTGCAGACATCAGGCATCAGTCAGGCAGCGTTTAATAACAACTGAGCTAGCCACATGCAACTTAATCTCCCCCTTCACTTTCCCTAGCCCTGCCCAGGAGAAGCAGCTATGCAATTGAACAGCATATATCGTCACTCTACCACAAATGTGGTATGGGTGCTAAGTGGAAAGAGAAGCAGATGCACTACAAAGACAGTTAAAACATCACCTAATCAGGGAAAAAAAAAAAAGAATGTGCTCACTTGAACTATGTTTGAACTATGTGCCAAGAGTTCATTATTCTAATCAAGTTCATGGTGTTAATCCATAGTTGAGGCTTCCTCTGTTTTTTGGGACTAATGAGTGATCGAGGTAAGGAAAAGCAAACTGAGTAAGTGAGTCCAATGGCATAGCACTCTCAATTTGTTTTACCTGAAGCCAAACCCAAAAGCCAATTTGATAATGCAAAATTACCAAGAAAAGCTTGCTCATAATATAATAGATCCTACTTTCTTGTGATAAGAATGTTTCCACAAGGAGATGATTTGGCTAAAATGAGAATGCCCAAAGGATATCTTCCTTCTACTCCTGCCTGAGGAAAGGAAACAAGGACACTCCAGCTCCAAATCAAAACAGGCGGTTTTCATAGGCTGAGAAGGAGATGTAGAAGCAGTCTCAAGACCCCCCAAGTGTATGCCTCTCAAGCTCATAACACTTCTGAAGTTTCACAGAAAATTTCTAGCTAGTAACAATGGCCAACAGACAAGGAATGAAAAGCTACCCTCGGGACACCCCTTGACATAAAGAAGATAGAGCTGCAGAAAGTGTAGGTCATAAATAGTGACCATTCTGTCACCACAGACCTCCCTTTATTATGACAGAGGAAGTCTGGGGATTACAGGCAGCAGCCACACTGCAGTGGGCAGAGGGAAGGGAAAGGTACAGAGAAGGGAACACTGAAAAAGCCACAGTTCAGAAGCAAAAGACATTTCCATACACATTCTGTCTCCCCCTGCATCCTCCCAACCCCACTCCAGCCTCAATCACTCATTCCCAAATGGACAAAGATGAGTGTGCAACAGCCCAGCTTGTGGAGTCTGCCTGTGTAAACAGGCTGGATTTGCTAGTTGTGAAAACTCTTCTGATGAAAAAATCCCCTCACTAGAACTTCCTAAACAAATGTATTTTGTGTGCTCTCTTTGACAGAAAATAAAGAAATTTATTCCAGAATCAGAAAAGCCCCAGGATGTTAAAATCATTCTTTTAATTTACTATAATAGTATCTTAAACTGAAAGCCTAGGGATTGAACTTAAAATTATCCTTTTAAAATATCCTTTATTTAAAATAAAAACTTTCTTATTGTCCCCATCTTATTAGCATACACAGCTTCTTTTTATGGTTGTATCTTCTTATCAAACACAGTTACTAAAGGCCTACTATGAGCCAGCCAGGAAGCACTGGGGATCTGGTAACAAAAATGACAAAACCCTTGTCCTCATGGATATGAAAATCCAGCCATAGAAGTGTTTCTTTTCAGCCTTCCTGGAACACCTCAGTCACTTTGTATAATCTACAGTGACTGCAATTACTAATATTCACATCTTGATAGAAAGCTGCTTCAAAATCTTCAAATGCTTAGCCCAAGTTTGAAACTAATATCTTCAAATGGCTTCTCAGGGCTGCTTTCTTCTCATAAATGATATTTTATTCTATTGCTCACAAGGTTTTTTTTCCAAAAAATATACTGATTTTGGATAAGAAATCCTCATAGTCTATTAAAGGATTGGAACACTACAGTTAATATCTAACTCCTCTATTTATTGCCGTGTTTTAAAACACATATAACTTCCCCTTTTGGTTTGTAACAGCTTTTTATAAAAGCTCTGGGTATATTTCTTAGCCCTTTTACTTTGGTCAAATGAAAAGCACTGAATTGTGGTTAAAATGTGAAAATTCAATCTCAAGCCTCTTAACCCTCAAGGTCACTGAGGATGCTTTTGTGTGCTCATTTATGTCGTGCCTTTATCCATGAAGAAATTTGTTGTTTTCTTTAGTAATTATATTTTTACTCAGAAATTATATGTTAACAGCTTTAGCATCTCAAGGGAAACAATTTTATTGGTAAGTTTGATCAATACCTGTAAGTTTTACATTTATACAGTGTCAACTAGATGTGTCATTTGGATAAACCTTTGATAGAATATTTTAATTAGACTATTTGCAAAAGAAAAAGATTGATTTCTCCTAATTGGGACAGAACTATTTTTAATTGTTATTCTTTATGTGACTCTAAATTTAAGCCATGTGTATCTTAAATTTTCACAAAATAATTTTGTATTTACATATAAATTAATAATGCTTAAAAGCCTGTAAATGTGATTTTAAATGACTGGGCTATTATTCTGTACTTTTTATAGACCATGAATTCAGTATGCTTGGCCAGTAAATAATTAGCAAAAATATTTTCTTATTTTTCAAAATTAACAATAGAAAAATGGCAAAATGTAATATTAGAGCACATCCAAATCAACTATAGATCAAACATGAAATCACTGATAAAGTGTCAGGTCTCCAGTTTCCCAACCCAAAGCCCTTATTGTTAAAACACAAACATAAACACTTTCAGCAATTCCAACAACCAATTCTATGGCTAGTAAAGTCCTGTGCAGCAGATACTACGATAAATATAGAATACTTATAAAACATGTTTCAATAGCACAGCCACTCAAAAAACAATCCCCCTGTGGCTGCATTGTTGGCACCAGAGAATTGAAGTGCTACCATCTGGTCATTTTTCACCTGGTGAAAATGACTATTGTATCCATGCGTACTTGGCAATTTTTATGAAGTTGTAAACATCTGGATTATTAATGCTTCTGGATGCTATCATATTTAACTCTTTTTTTCCCTCTGAAAGAGCTTCTGTGATCCATTTTCACTTCTTTACCAACAGACATAAGATATGCTTGCACCTGTTGTTTAACTAAACTGCAAATAAAATCTATTGCTAGGGATTCCTTGTTTCTTGCTTTAGGCATGAGATACGGTTTGACCACCCAAATCTCATCTTGAATTGTAGCTCCCATAATCCCCACGTGTCATGGGAGGGACCCAGTGGGAAGTAATTGAATCATGGGGTAGGTTTCTCCCATGCTGTTCTCATGATAGTGAGTAAGACTCACAAGATCCCATGATTTTATAAAGGGCAGTTCCCCTGCACACACTCTCTTGCCTGCGGCCAGGTAAGATGTGCCTTTGCTCCTCCTTCGCCTTCCACCATGATTGTGAGGCCTCCCCAGCTATTTGGAACTGTGAGTCCATTAAATCTCCCTTTCCTTTATAAATTACCCAGTCTCTGGTATATATTTATTAGCAGTATGAGAACGGACTAATAACAGCATGACCAGCACTTTTCATTTTATGCCCACTCGTGCAAACTCATATTCCATAAATATGGAAACCTAAGTATAAAATTAAATAAAATCTTCTTTAGAAACCACATTTTCAGAGGTAAAGCATGTTTGAGCTTTTTTGTGTGACATGGTCTTTATATCACTTCTAAATCACATCAACAACCAAAACACTAAGCACCTGTATGAACAGCATGTGTTTCCAGCTAATAGGAGCCAGGTATTCAGACAAACACTACTGCTGAAACAAACTAGAAATACTGGATAAAATATAAATAACTTCTTAAAAGCAACAAACAGCTGGAATGATAATAAGGAATTGCTAGGCAAAACTGAAGGAAAATGGAACCACTGAAAGATAAGCAAGCAGGGAAATTGCTTTTGTTTCCTAAGTGCATTTCCCTGCAAACTTGAGCTTTTATTTTGAAAAGTTCCAGGCAAGAAGGCAGATATCGAAGGTCAATGTCCACACAAGGTGCACAGTCCAATAGGGAGCCCTCTTCACAGTCATCTGAGACCTCAAAAAGCAATACTCTAAGGGTAAGAGCAGAATAATAAATAACGAGACCTTCAGCAGATTTATAACCTGGGTTTTATTGCCGAGACTTACAACAAAACTCAAGCTTCGAACTTGGTTTAAAATGCTCCACAAGTCACTTGTGACCACAAAGACTGGCAGAAGTAATGTCAAAGACAACCAGGTGTACAGCAGAAACAACAAAAGAGAGAAACAGATCTATAAAGACTTCAAATAATTGAGCTGTGAACAAGGCACTGTGAAACAAAAGGGATGGAGTAAGGAAAGCAGTTATGGTTCCCCAAAGTAGTATCACTTAGTTGGGAAGTTAAGCAAGCTGAATTCTTTGAGTACAGATTTATTTCATGGGTGTTTTTTGTTTTTTTCCACTACCTCTCCACCAAGACATACTGCTTTGCGTAAGAACAGATGATTATAAATGTTAGCAAATGAGAAATATAAGCATCAAATGAATGGCAGAAACAATATGTACTACGGGACTTCAGAAAGATATACTCTTTTCTTAATACAAAGTTTTGATAATGATGTAATAAATCTTAACAGAGAATTGCAACTTGAAACATTTGAGAATTCAAAAGCATCACCAAAATCTGATAAGATGTAATTGAAAGAATTCAAATAACATTTTTCTCACAAATTAAAAGCTTTTTATGAAAACCAAACTTGATGGTTCAGGTAGAAACTTTGGGCAATATTTAACCCAACTAACTTTGTAAAATAAAAACATCTGTAGAGTTTTTTTTTCTGTTTCAAGTCCTGTGATACACATAGCTTAAATCCCATGTCTTCACAGACAAGGAGTAAATTCTCTCTCTCCCCTAATTTCTTGAAAAACAGAGTAGAAGCTCTCTCAGCGAAACTTTACTTAAGAAAATGTTTCCATTTTCTCTATAAATGCTGACTGATGCCCACCATACATTAAAAGCTTGTAGCTTACTAGCCATTCTATAATATGTGTACATTCTTCTCCCACTAGTAAAGTTATATGCTCAGCAAGAGTCAAGTATGTTTATCCCAAACCTTTTGATCCTATTGTAGTTGCTATTGCAATTACATAATTTAAATAAATCTTAGATTATCTAATAAAAATGAGTTCCAAAAATTATTGCTTTATGAAAATTACGATGCATGCTTTGTAAGAACTTAATAAAAAGGAATTTCTACAATATTGCTATTGAATTATGGGTATGTCTGAAACAAATCAAAAAGATTGGGGAGGAAGCTTCGAAAATATTTAGAAGTTCTACAATCAGATTGTTTTGCAAGTGTCTTTAATTACTGACTGCCTTTAACAGATAACAAACCAGTGAGACAATGCCTACAAATAGGTATTGTTTATTTTTAAAAACACAAAGCTAAACCCCAAATTCTGGAAACTTCTTAAATAAAATATACTTAAATAAAAGGTCTTGACTGGACATCAGATCATTGGTAAACGAATGTCCAACTTACGTGTTTCAAGTTGAAATAAAATGTTTAAACTACGCATATATCAGTTTTTTCTCCACTTTAACCATCTTTTTTATTAACTGATCAAATAATGGTTTTGCTACTGCTATGAAATAAAGCTTCTTTATGTGGTAGAGGGCATCAAATTTGGGTTTTTGAATCCTAATTTGGGTTCTATGTTGGGTGCATTACTTCACCTTTATGGGCTTCAATCTCATTTCACATGAATGAAGACAATATCTACCTAACAGAACCAAGTGAAATAGCACATGTAAAACACTGGTAACAGATCAATAAATGATACTACTATGATTATTGTTCTGAAACAAAACATGAATATAAAAGCATAAGATAATAAAGTAGATTTACAAGACCAAAACAAGATGGATGGACTGGAAATAGATAGACTCATCCCCAGAGATAGTGTGTGTGCAAAGAGATTGCTGATCACTTTGAATGGTCAGCATCATTAATAAGCTCACACTCTTTATGACTATTTGGTAATGATAAAATCCAACACTGGCTGGGCGCGGTGGCTCATGCCTATAATCCCAGCACTTTGGGAGGCCAAAGTGGGTAGATCACCTGAGGTCAGGAGTTCAAGACCTGCATGGCCAACATGGCAAAACCCCATCTCTACTAAAAATACAAAAATTAGCCAGGCATGGTGGCATGTGCCTGTAATCCCAGCTATTTGGGAGGCTGAGGCAGGAGAATCGTTTAAACCTGGGAGACTGAGGTTGCAGTGAGCCGTTATCACGCTACTGCACTCCAACCTGGGCAACAGAGCAAAACTTCGTCTCAAGAAAAAAAAAATCTAACACGCAACTTGGAACACTGTGGAATGAGTCTTAAAATCAGTGAGCATGTGTGCTTGAGAAAGTATTTAATATCCCTGATAGAAGTAGAGCTATTTATAGTCATTTTTGTTAATGGGCTTCATTATCAAAGATTTACACCAGGCCTTAATCAGAATAAAGGGACGCCTCACAAAAGCTTTGTTTCGAATGGAAAAACACAACAAAGAACAATCACCATTTGACACCAAGTATGCATAATTCCAAATGGAAGTCTCTGTAATAGGTTCTTTTAAAAATAGATTTATTACCAAAGCAAAGTAATAAATAGGCAGGAGATGGACCTTTATTTCACTCCTATAATTGATCCAGTTTTAGTTAAGGGCAGAAACTGGCCCAGTTACAGGAATAAAATAAAAGAGTACAGAGTCAACCAATCTGTCAGCTTGGCACACCTATGAAATATTGTGAAGAAAATTTGTCAGAATAAGCATCTTTCTCACTCATTAGATTGGAGATGAAATGTCACCTTTCCCAAACAAAACAAAACAAAAACAAACTAACAACACATACAACCACACGGTAGGAACTACAGTTACAATTGAAGACAAAATCCAGGAAGAGGAACTTCTATAACTTGGGCATCATTCTGCTTATATATTTTCCATGCGGTGTCAGCATTAAGGATTACGACTGATCCCAAAAAGAGCTGACTTTAAATGTGGGAGTGTATTTTTGGATAAATCAGAGTGGAGGGTTTCAATTATCCTCCACACCTCTCTGGGCCTTCTGGAGAGGCAGCTTGGAGGCCCTTCTCCAATTAAAGCAGAGAGTGTATCTCACTTCCACACTGTAAAACTCTATCTTAAGAAAAGGATCTGCTGCTTAAAACAATCTGAAAACCACTGAAATAACCCATCTGAATTTTTTTGTCATGTGTGTTCACAGAAACTAATGGAGTTTGGTAGCCCTCTGCTGGATGAAAGATATTAAATCCAGTTGCTCTGAAGTACTATTTGAGGATTTAAAAGTCTTCATAAGGTTTAGAGGGCTACTTTAACATTTGCTGTGTATATTTTTGTGTTTAGTGGATATTTTTCTGCTTTGCAGAAGAGAAGAAGACAATGTCCTTTCCGTCAAGCCATACCATATAATAGTAAGCTAGAATAACTGAATACAAATTATAAATTTAAATACTATATAATTTTTTGAGTAAAAATAGGAATTGACAGAAAGCTAGTAAAATTTAAGCATTAGCAAAATATTTATAAGTTAGCAGTTGCCACATCCCTCTCCCAAATCTCTAATGGGGTTAAGGATTTCTCTTAACTTCATTGTAGGTTAAATCAAAATATGTATAACGAATTTCTTTAAAGTTTGTTTATGCAGTCTCACACTGTACACTAGTACACATTAAGTTAAATCTAGTCTTACACACATTTGAGTAATACAATATGATCAGGTTTTTTGTTTAAGGTAAGAAAATTTCAAACATGATGGCAGAATTACCATAGACTATTCAGCTTTTAAGTTGGATGTACAAACACAGTTTGTGAAGCATGTCAGATCATGGAATAATACTCTACAGAAATTGTTTCACAAATGAACCTTCATGCCTATAGCTGACCCAAGTGGAAAATGATTTAATGTGTGTTTGACAGCAATAGTAAAATTAATGAGTCTTGAAATAGTTTCTTATAATCTTGGATCAATTTTTGGTTAATTTTATTCCATATAGCTAATCTTTTCAAAATCCCATCTTTCTATCGTAGCAATTAAAACTGTCTCTTACTTTCCACCTTCTCTTTTCTCTTGTTACCTGTCTGGCCTCTGTCACTGCTGCTTCCTAAATCAACTGATAAGGTCTTGCCTGGTCCACAGTCTCTTCAACTTTCCTATCCTCACCACTTGATACTGACTTCCAAATTTTGCTAAGGAATTAAGGAATTCTTTTACAATTCTCCAGAACACAGAACCAATTTACTTTTGCATCTCGGTTCAGATAAAAAAGTTTAAACTTTGATGTCTAATTATAATTCCAACCTAGGTTAATTATATGCCTAAGACTTCAGAAGGGCTACCTACTCATAAAATTTGCCTATGACCAACTGCTCATAATTTTACTAAATAGCCAAAATTCCTCTCCTCCTGAATTTCTATTCAGCTTTGCCTGTCTGCTAGGGCACCCCTGTCATGAACATTAGCCTCTCAATCTGATTGGATTCTCACCTATTTCCTGGAGTCATTTTCTAGGGTTACCACAACCATCAAGTATGCTGAATTGAGTTACATCCTGTTTCTGCTGCTCACTGTCCATAACTAGATACTTCCAGGAGGGCTCCCAAGATACTATACTATTACCTAAATTATGTTCTTCATTGTTACCCATTATTTCTTATTCCACTAATTTTAAATCCCACTCACTTTGTTTGCTATATTTTTATGATCCTGCATTCTCTTTCAGTTTTTTCCCAGTTATACATGTTTTTGTTGTTGTTATTGTTGTTGTTGTTGTTGTTTAGCTTTGAGATGGAATCTCGTTCTATCACCAAAGCTGGAGTGCAGTGGCACAATCTCAGCTAACTGCAACCTCTGCCTCCTGGGTTCAAGCGATTCTCGTGCCTCAGCCTCCAAAGTAGCTGAGACCACAGACGTGTGTTACCACACCCAGCTAATGTTTTGTATTTTTAGTAGAGACAGGGTTTCATTATGTTGGCCAGGCTGGTCTCAAACTCCTGATCTCAGGTGATCTGCCTGCCTCAGCATCCCAAAGTGCTGGGATTACAGGCATAAGCCACTGTGCCCAGCCCTCCCAAATTATACATGTTTTTCACAATTCTCTTCTCTTCTTCAAAACAACTATCTAGATTTGTAGAGCTCTTTTTTGTGATAATAAGGTTTTTTAGAAGGTTTTATTTTGTATAAAGACAAACTAATTGCTTTTCTTTTTCACCTCATTTCCCAGCCCAGACTTCCTACCACGTCTCCATCAAAATCTAAAAAGTAAAGGAAGAAAAGAAGAAAACAACAACAGCAACAACCCCAGCATCTAACTTTTGAACAAAAGGTGGTAGTGTTTCACCTAAGGAACAGGAACATTAAGTAGGAGTTATATTCTTACCTCACCACTGAAAAGAACAACAAGCTGGAGAATGACAATGTGGACAAAGGAGATTTAGAATTTGATCTGTTCCTCTTACTTATCAAACCCTAGGTTTCCGAGACCCTTGGTATTTTAAAAAATACTGCCTAAGTCAGGATTTTGTCTGTCTTCAGAGGGAAGGAATCAAAGGCATGGAGGAAAAGGGGGACAAAAATCACAACTAATATTTTTTAACCTAAAACCCAAATATCAGTATTTTATTCTACATTGAAGCTTAAACATCTTACTCTTGTTTTATATTTAAGCAAATATTCAGATGTGTGTACATATTCCACTTCCTGAGAATGACTAATGGATATATTTAATATGTATACTCTATCAGCTTTACATAGCTGACTTTTAAAACACTGACAATGGAAGCTTGTACTCCTAAATGTTGATGAAGCATTAAAAGCACAAATAATATTCAGTAATGCATTTCCAAAGATCTTACGTGCTTCAAAAGTACAAAAGCAGTCTTTTAACTGGATTTTGATTAGTGCTAAGCAGAATTCTAAATTATTTTAGTCATTAGTCATAAATTCATGACGATATATACTGGAGTGTCTTTTGACTACTTTCAAAAATTGCCATTAAAACATCACTGACATTCTTTTCCTTAATTTCAAAATACATTTCTCACTTAAAAGAAATCTTCAGTCTTAGATAATACTATTTTTAAAACAGTTGATGTTTTTGTATCATGAAGGCCATCAAACCCAGTCAATTTCTGGCCATCTAAGCACCTATTTCTTAGCATTTAATGCCAAGGCTTTTCTTATATGAATGTTTAAAAAAAATTAGTGAAAGAGGATGAAACGTTTCAAGTCCTCATGACATCAGCCATATCATAGTATTTGCATTCCACATTAAGGACATCTTCATTTTATGCTAAGGATTATAGCAAATTAAGTTGCAAAGAAAGCTCTATTTATAGTTTAATCACTTCAGGAGTAGACAACACAGGATTACATTTATGTTGAGCATGATGAAACAGATAATATTTTAAAATTAAAATATACTTGTTTTTCTAAGTAAATGAAATACTTAGGCAAATACAAGGAGGAAAAGCAATTCTGTGAAGAATGCACAAAATTAAATACCATGTTGCATTAACTTTTGTCCTGTTTTCTTTTCCTCACCTCCCCTCCTCCCTGTGTTACACTTTTCTATTGGCCCAAAGTGAGGAGAATAGATGGATAGGAAAATAACTTGGGAAAGTGAAGAGGAACTGAAAATGAAGTTAGTCCTGGAACAAAAGGTGAGAACAATAAAGAGGAGGATATCTAGAAATTCAGTTCCGTCTAGGTATGTGATTAAGATACTAGGAAATATCTTACTAAATTACTAGTGACCTCCACGTTGCCAAATCTCATAGAGATTTGACAGTCCTCAGATTATCTGATTTTTTAACAGCACTTCACAGTTGGACATTCTTCCTTCTTTTGGAATTTTCTTTTCTTAGTTCTGGCACTCAACTTTCTCCTGTTCTTTTCATGGTCTTTCTGCTTTGCTTCAGTTTTCTTTGAGGTGTCCTCCTTTTCTATCGGAACTCAAATTCAGAACTGTCCTGGGGCTTCCTCTCTTCTTAGCCTATACATGCGCCCCACCAGCAGCATCTGCTCCCATGGTGGTAAATCTCATATATGTGCTCAATCCAAAGTTCCTATCTCTGGTTCTAGCCTCTTTTCTGAGCTGCCCATCTGACATATCCACTTTGATGTCTCACATACTATTTTTGGATTTTTTCCCCCGAAATGTTTTTTTCTCCAGGCTTCCCCATCTAAGTGAATAGTACCCAGCCAAACACCTGGGAGTTGTCCACATTCAATCTATCCCTGAGTCTTATAAATTTTTCCACCAAAATATATCTTCCATGTACACTTTTTTTTCATCCCCACAGCCACCAGCCACCGCTGCTGCTCACCAGGTCTATAACCATAACATCCTATCAGCTACCCTACTTCTACTCCATCCCTCCACCATTCCTCTCAGTGTAACAGTGTCAAATTATAGAATTGTTTCCACCTAGCCAATGCCCAAATAATTCCAATAAATTTCCATTAAACTTAGTAACAACTCCAAAGCCTTCATGAGCTGGACCCTCTTTGCTTCTCTATCCTCACCATACACCGGTGACACTGGCCTTCTTTCAGTCCCTATGTGCATCAAGGTCTTTCCCACTTCAGGGCTTGCATGTGTACTTCCCTCTGCCTGGAATGTTGTCCTCATTCTTGCATCTGACTCATCCTTCAAATCTCAACTTCAGTATAACTTGGTCATAGAAGCCTCCCTTAATGCATTCCCAACTCAAGCCAAACCAGGTCTCCTTGTAAAACTCTCTTATACAAACCTGTGTCCTCTTTCATAGCACCTACCACAACTTCTAGTAATATAGGTAATTGGGTTCTTATTTGTTGAATTTTTTTTTCTCTCCATAGAAATACAGACTCCACTAAGACAAGTTCCTGGTGCCAAAAAACATTAACTGACGTGTTATATGAGCTCTGTAACTTTTTCTTAGATAGATGAATGAATGCATGAATGTATGAAAGAATGAAAAATTTGTTGTTGCCTAAGAACATTGGAAGGAATATTGATAATTAAAAATGCTAAAGTTATGTATCTTTAGAGTCCAGTTAACACCACTAATGCCTAGAATTTGACACATCCCTTGGGATCCATATTGAATTTCCTAGAGAAATTAAGGATATTTCCTTCTTACAGCTAGAAGAAATACTATCTCTGCAAAAAGTTACTCTGTATTTAGTCAAAGCCTGATTTTTGGCAGTGTAGGGAGAAATATCAAATTCATTCATGTATGTAAAAAACTAATTATGATACATTTACATATATACATTTGGAAAGAGATACATGAACATGTTATCAACAGTAATCTCTATAATTCGGAAAAATGTTTTTGTTGTTGATTTTATTCTATTTTTTAATTAATTAAGGTCTATAATTTGCATCAGAGTTTACTTTTTATGTTGTACAGTTCTATGAGTTTGGACAAGTACATTGTGTCATGTATTCCAGGATCACACAGCATTACAAGATCATACAGAATAGTTTCACGACCCTAAAAATTCCCTGTGCTTCATCTATTCATCACTTCCCCTTCTCCCCACAAAAGTTCTGAAAAACACTGATGTTTTTACTATCTCTAAAGTTTTGCCTTTTCTAAAATGTTATATAGTTTGAATCAAATGGTATGTAGCCTTTTCAAAAGGGCTTGTTTCTTCACTTAGCCATATGCCCTTACAGCTGCTGCATATTTTTTTGTGGCTTGATAGTTCATTTGTCACTGAATAATATTCCATTGTAAACTGTAATATCACAGTTTATCCATTCATCTATTGAGGGATATCTTGGTTGCCTCTGGTTTTTCACAATTATGAATAAAGCTGCTGTAAACATTCAAGCGCAGATTTCTGTGTGCACCTAAGTTTTCATTTCATTTGAGTAAACACCTAGAAGTATGATCACTAGATTGTACAGTAAGACTGTGTTTAGCCTTGCTAAGACACTACCAAGTTGATTTCCCAAGTGGCTGTGCCATTTTGCATTCTTAACATCAATGAATGACAGTTTCTGTTGTTCCACCTCTTTGCCAGCATTCAGTATTGCCAGTGTTTTGGATTTAGTAATTCTAATAGGTTTGTACTGTAAAACAACATCTTGTTTTAATTTGTGATTTCCTAATGAGATGTAATGTCCAGCATCTCTTCATATGCATCTTTTGCCATCTGTATATCTTCTTTGATAAGGTATCTGTTCAGATCACTTACACATGTGTAAACTGGATTGCTTGTTTTCTTGTTGTTGAGTTTGAAGATTTCTTTGTATATAATGGCTACAATTTATCAGATATGTGTTTTGCAAAGATTTTTTTTCTTGTAGCCTGTGGCTTGTCTTTCTATTCTTTTAACTGTGTCTTTCATAAAACAGAAGTTTTAAATTTTAAAGAAGCCCAACTTATCAATTTTTGTTTTCCTGAATCATCCTTTTGGTACTGTATCTAAAAACTCATCATCAAACCCAAGGTCACCTAGATTTTCTGCTATGTTATCTTCTAGAAGTTTCATCGTTTTACATTTTACATTTAACTCTTGATCCATTTTGCATCACTTTTTGCGAAAAGTATAATATCTGCCACTAGATTCACTTTTTGTCGCATGTGGGTATGCAGTTATTCCAGCACCATTTGTTGAAAACACTCTCATTTCTGCATTGAATTGCCTTTTATCTTGGTCAAAAATCAGTTCACTGTATTTGTGTGTATCTATTCTGGGCTTTCTATTCTTTTCCATTGATCTATGTGTTAATTCTTTCACCAGTACCACACTGTCTTGATTACTATAGCTTTATATTGTCTTAAGTTGGGTAGTGTCAGTCCTCTGTTATTTTTCTTCCATATTGTGTTTATTATTCTGAGTCTTTTGCCTTTCCATATAAACTTTAGAATCAGTTTGTCAGTATCCACAAGACAACTTGCTGAGATTTTGATTGGGATTGTATTGAGTCTATAGATCAAGTTGAGAAGAAGTGAAATCTTAATAATATTGAGTCTTCTTATCTATGAACATGGAATATTTATTTAGATCTCCTTTGGTTTCTTTCATTATAGTTTTGTGGTTCTTCTCATATATATCTTATACATGTCTTATTAGAATTACACATAAGTATTTCATTTTTTGGTGCTAATGAAAAATTCCAATTCCAATTGCTCATTGATGGTATATAGGAAATCAGCTGACTTTTGTATATTAACCTTGTATCCTGTGATCCTGCTATCATCAATATTAGTTCCAAGAGGTCTTTGTTATTGTTGTTGACCATTTGGGATTTTCTACATAGACAATTATGCCATCTGTGAACAAAGAGAGTTTTATTTCTTTTTTCCCAATATATCTGTTATTTCCTTTTCTTGTGTTATTGTATTAGCTAAGCTTCCAGTATGATGTAGAATATGAGAGTAAGAGAAAACATTTTTACTTGTTGCCAGTCTTAGGGGGAAAGCAGCTAGTTTCTCACCATTAAGTCTAATATTTGCTATAGGCCTTTTGTAGATGTTATTTATCAGGTTAAGGAAGTTCCCCTCAGTTCCTAGTTTTCTGTGATTCTTTTTATTTTTTGAGGAATGGGTGTTGGATTTTGTCTAATGCTTTTTCTACCTTCACTTATATGATCATACGATTTTTCTTCTTTAGGCTGTTGATGTGATGAATTACCTTAATTGACTTTTGAATGGTGAACCAGCCTTGTATACACAGAATAAATCTCACTTGATAATGGTATATAAATCTTTCTGTTCAATATTTTTACATTATTTTCATGACAGATATTGGTCTGTAGTTTTCCTTTCTTGTCCTGTCTTTATTGGGTTTTAGAATTAGGGTTATACCAGCCTCATAGGATTAACTAGGAAGTATTCTGTCTCCATTTTTTGGAAGACATTGTAGAGAATTGTTATCATATCTTCCTTAAATATTTGGTAGAATTCATCAGTGAAACCATTTGAGCCTGGTGCTTTATTTATTAGAAGGTTATTAACCATTGATTTGATTTCTGTCATAGATACAGACTTACAGATCACCTATTTCTTTTTGTATAGGTTTTGGTAGATTGTACTTTTCAAGGAATTAGTCCACTTCATCTTAGTTGTTGTGCATAATATTTATTTATTGCTCTTTTAATATCCATGGAATCAACGGTGATGATCCATCCCTCTTTGATTTCTGATATTAGGAATTTGTGTTTTCTTTCTTCTTTTCTTTGTTAGTTTGACTAAAATTTTATCAACTTTATATATCTTTTCAAATAATCAGCTTTTGGTTTCATTGATTTTACTCTATTGTTTTAAATTTCATTTGTATCTGCTGTAATTCTTATTTCTTTTCTTCTGTTTGCTTTAGGTTTATATAGTTCTTTATCTTCTCTAGTTTTCTATGATAAAAGCTTAGATTGATGGATTTTAATCTTTTTTCTTTTCCAAACAATTCATTCAATGCTATAAATTTCACTCAGTAGGCAAATATAAAAAGAAAGTGGAAACTCTGAAACATGGCTTGTCCAATATTACATGAATAGCATTTATAAACCACTAAGATATTTTAGACTTTATCATTTTATTTATCTTATATATACACAAGCACATTTATGATTTGTGTGTGTGTGTATATATACATATATATGTGTGTGTGCGTGTGTGTGTGTGTGCATATATATACACACACACACACACACACACACACATATATATACAAGAGGAAAATTTATCTATAGCTATTTTGGGTTTTTACTTTGAGCTAATGGCTAACTCAAATTTCAAAGTTAGCTTTGTAAAAGCTAAAATAATTAATAGTGCTCAAATATTTGCAGCATTCTGATTTCCCTACATCTGGGCCTATAATTTCTCTTGATTATGTCTAAAATTAATAGTCCTTCAAACAGAGTCAGCCCTTGGGCAAAAATTGGAAAGTTTTCATTTATACAGTGCTTCCTGAAATGAACATGTACCAAAAGCAGTAGCTTTTTCTCTAACACTAGTCCATCCTAATTTATTTTCCCTTTGGTTTAGGAAATAGAGTAATCTTTGATAAGAAAACACACTCCCAAGCTGTATAAATTGGGTGCAATTTGCATACTGGAGTCTACCACTCTTAGACAATAGCTCAACGCAGCCAAATCTACCTTACAGAGTATAAGCTAGGACTCACTCAGAGAAAAGGAATTATGTTGCTGAGTGACCTGAAGACAACCATAACCAATCTGAATGAGTTCTATTAACTTAACTCTAGCACAGAGATCTATCAGAAAAAAAGAAATCAGCTATACCTTTTTGTGGGAATAATTTAGGGGAGTGAATACTTGTCATGAAAGCACACCATCTGGCACAACTGGTGCAAAGGTCACATCATATAGACTATTCCAGCATATGAGAGAGAGAGAGTATGAGTGACTCACTTTAAGAAAATCTAATGATATAAAAAAGGAAAAGTGACACTGGACAACTCTGTAAATGACAGACATCCTAGCCCAAATCTGGAATTGAAGGAGTGATAATATTTGCCACAGAAAGGTCCAAATAAAATAGCCCTTGATGGCTTTGGAAGCAATTAATATTGCTTTTGCCCAAGGCATATGGTACTTTACAATGAAGCAAAGTATAATGGAGTAGGTCTTAGCTTGAATTTAAGCCCAGACTTAGACAAATTGTGTGGACTGGTAGAATGAGTCTTCCAGAGACCTACTTGCATAAGTATTGTGGCAAAATCGACTTACTGGGTTTTTTTCTATGTTTCTACATACAGCATTGAAGGCTTATTCTTCAATAGATGGTCTCCCTTCTTGCTTTGATAAAATAATAATGATAACAACAATAATAATAATAGTAATAGTTGGGCACATGGCTGCATATGTGCTCCTGCAGCATACATTTCCTAGTCTCATCTAAAGCAAAGTATGGTCATGTAACTATGTGATGACCAATAGAATTTTTTTAAAAAGAGTTATTTGCAGCTTTGGAAGTGGCCTTAAAGATAAAGCATAAATACTGCTATCCACTTTTTGTGATTCTGCTGGACATGATGGTTACAGCTTGAACCATCAGCTCAGGCTGTGAGGTGGAAGCCTCATGGTAAGGATGGCAGAGAAGCAAGATAGAAGGACCCTGGATTCCTGAGCCCATGGAGCGCCTTACCAGCCCCAGGTTACCAACGTCTGGATTTATTTTATGTGGGAGAGAAATGAACTACTATCTTATTTAAGTCACTGTGATTTTGGGGTTTCATTGGTTCCAGTGATTAATCAGTTATTTAACAAATCAATTAATCCTGATTGATGAGGAGACTGGGAGACTTTTGTAAACAGCTCATTCAAACGGAAGATGGAGCAATTCATAAGGAGACCCATGCAGTGACAAGGTGTCCTTCATAAAATAGGAAAGGCTGGTTGCTGTCACAGGCACTGAACTCCTGGTCAGCTTCTGAGTGCTCCTTATATTTGAACCCTATAGGAAGAATCGGGATGAACTTTGTAAGACGCTGGAGCACAGCTACACTACTTTGGCAGCCCCTCATCAGAGCACCATGGGGAAGAAGGGTTCTAATCAGACAATATGCACCTTTGTATCCCAGTGGAGCCTGGTGATAGACCAGAGGGACATGGAATAAAGGAAAGATGTGCTCAGATTCCACATGGCAGCCAACGAAGTGGCTCACCAGACTCATTAGCACAGATGAGAGCCTGCAGTTAACTACTATAAACATGCATGGACAAAAACTGTAGGAAGACATAATATGAGCATGCACAGACAGTGAGATGTAGAGTACAAATGTATTTATACAAGAAACTAGTTCTCCTTTTCATATGATAAAGAATTCTATTTTTATAAAAGAATTATTATTATACTTATAAACAGAAAGGTATAAATCTGTTTCACTTATTGTAACCTAGATTCTCCCCCAATCCTCATAATCTAATTTGTGATTCTACATTTCCTCTACTGGGGATAACAATAGAATAATAGAAAGAAAGAATAAAGAGATAGGACATGCCAGAACATAGCAGTTCAAGATCTAAACATTTCTTGTCTTCGTGCCTGATACAAATCACAGGCACACTCTCAGGCACCTAAATTCATCATTAAAATGACTCCAAATCAAAAACGCATTTTATGTGTAACAATTTTTACTCATATAGGTACAGTTTTAGAGTTCTTGGAGTATATAACCAAATTAAAAGCTGTAAGAAGAAAAAGGCACAAAAGGAAAAAAGGTAAATAATAAAGATATATTCTGAAGCATCAACACAGTAGAAAAAAATGCAGCCTAAAAAAGTCTCTTCTAGAAAAAGAAAATCAATATAAACCTTGATGTTTCCTCTGTGAAAAATTCCTGAGTAATAACTGCAGTCAAGCATCACTCAGCATCAGAGCACTTCTTGCCACTGAGGAATCCCAACATTGGAAGAGGGTAGTTCTCACCTTCCATTTTTGAAGATCTAATGTTCTATTTCACCAGCCCCTGCCAATTAGACTGTGCCACAGCATCTTAGCTGATGTGCAAATTGCTCTTATCTTTTAAATTTCACCTGTTGCTTTGACTTTCCCAGTGATGCTATTCTTCAAAGACACCACTGGAGGCCAGTCATGCTACAGCATGCATTCCAGCCACACCCTAAATTTTTTAAAAAACAAGACAAAAACCATTAATTAGTTACAAAAACAATGCTTTGTGACTAAACACAAATGAATATACACAAATCTAACTTAATTTTTGAAATGCAACATAAAGTAAAATTTTTACTGGTGATGAAATCTGGTTCTGACATTCCAATAACTAAATATGTTTAGTAACTAAATGTGTTTTTTATCTTGATTGCAGTGATGGCTTTATGGTTTATACATAAGTCAGAATTTATCAAATTGTACCCCACACTAAATATGTACACTAAATATCTATGTCAATTACATCTTTTAAAAGCTGCTAACAAGAAGATAACTGTAATACACTGCAGCTTCAATGTTTATACACACACGCGCACACACATGCATGCACACACACACACACACACACGTGCTGCACCCTCTTTTCCATCACATAAATTCCTTCTGGTCCTCTTAGTGCTGGATGTATTGTTTTGAATCCATAATCAAATATCCCCTTCAGATAAGTATCAAAATTTGTATTTAAGAACATGGTTCCTTTGAGAACGTCTTTTTTCTAACGGCTGAAGTCTTTGTCTCAGAGATAGGTTGATAAGAAATGTCTTTATTTATTTATGAATCTGATGCTTAAGCATAACAGCACTCCTCAGTTTTTAAGAGATCACTTTATCTCTTTTTTAAAAAACATCACAAAGCACTTCAATGGGATATGATTTGCAGATATATTAAAATAAGCAGAAAAATTGCCTAATTTAATTTGCATTCACATCAACATCCGACTTAATTGAAATATTTATTCAATGTGTTGGCTGCATGTTCACTGGGAAGATTTATCATTAATAATTGAAAAAGAGAAACAAAAGCCACAGATTAAGGAAGGTCCAAGAAGTTCTATTCATTTATACAAGTTTCACAGTATACTCTACTCCAATATAAACACTGGCCAAGTTAATTATGAATTTGGGACAGATTTTCAAGCAAAGAAGAGTTACAATGAGCTCCTAACTCAAAGTTCTTGGTTATCATAGAGTTGATATTTTGGTACAGACTCTACTAACATAAAAGGGAAGCAACAAATTCCAGTGAATTATTTAATGGAGAGCAGAAAACAAGGGTAAAGTTACTGTCTTATTTGGTGAAGGTTTGTTGTGTGCCTGCAATGATTCAGGCATATATCACCTAGATGAACATATGACATAAAGAGGAGAGGAAAGCTGACTTTTATTTGAAGCTTTAATAAATGTGTTGGCATTATTGCGTAATAAACAGAGTTTCAAAAAGCAAATTAGCTGGGCGTGGTGGCTCACACCTGTAATCCCAACACTTTGGAAGGCCAAGGTAGGCAGATCACTTGAGGTCAGGAGTTCGAGATCAGCCTGGCCAACATGGTGAAACTCTGTCTCTACTAAAAATACCAAAAATTAGCCAGTCGTAATGGTGGATGCCTGGAGGCTGAGGCAGGAGGATCACCTGGGAGGCAGGGGTTGCAGTGAGGCGAGATTACACCACTGCACTCCAGCCTGGGTGACAGAGCAAGACTCCATCTCGAATAAATAAATAAATAAAATAAATATAAATACACAAAAAGGAACTACTTCTTATATAAATAATGGATTTGGGATTAGATATAGGAAATCAGGACATGTGTTTGCAGCTTAAACAGTAATTTAATAATCTGAAGGATTTACTGAAACTTCTACAAGTACCCAATATAATGTCACAGAACAGCAGTCACCTGAACACCCTATCACAAATTCTCATAGATTAAGACAATGTATGCATAATAATTGGTTACTGCCAGTTCTATAAATCTATATAACTGCACTATAAGCATGTTAAGGCATTTTATATTCTTATATAATATCCATGAAATCAAAAAAGTTAAATGTCAGGCTCAAGGTCAAAAGAATTGGGACTAGAGTTTAGTCTGTGTAATTCCCATTCCAGTGTTTTTTCCACTAGACTCTTTAACCCTTGGAAAATTTATCTCCTTCTAATTTTTTGATTTTTAAAAGCATATTTATATATCTGTGTAGTAGATTTTGAAAGAAATTTCTAATTCCACTTGTCATGTAATCAATAAGATTATATAGCGCACCAGAGAAATAACTAAAAGAACCATCACAAGCACATATTAATCACATACTATATGTGGACAATATTCTATATATTTTACACTCATTACCTCATTTAATCCTTATAATAATAGGAGGTAGGTATTATTAATATCCCTATTTTATAGGCAACTAAATGAAGATTACAGAATTAAGTTGCTCTAAATCAACATGTAGTAAGTAGCAAGAAATGGAGGAAACTAAAATACATAGAACATAGTAACTTATTCAAAGATGAATAGCTAATTCCCAGAGACTGGCAGAATCCAATCTATCTAACCCAATGCTTCTCAGACATTAGTGTGCATAGGAATAATCTGTTGATGTAAATATAAATTCCGCTTCCATAGGTCAAAGCTGGGGTCTGAGAGTCTGCTTTTTACAAGCTCCTGGGTGATGCCCATGCTGCTGGTCCATGGACACTTTAATTAACAAGGACTTCTACACCAAGTGACTTCTCACTAGTTCATCTGCCTTGTGTTTATATGGTTCAGTCCTTGAAGTCAGAAGCAAAGGCAAGCCTGAACTATATTTAGTGCTGTAATGTATGTTTTTTATGTTGTGTAGTGTATGGATTGCAATTCTGTGGCCAGATGCCATTCTTAAAAAAATCCAAATAGTCTCACCGTAATTTTCATCTTTGTACATTACCACATTTAAAAACTAAATTTAAGAACACACATTGGCTATATTCAAACAATCTCAGAAGAGAAAAAAATGACATTTAAAATGGAAATATATGATTTTGTTTTATAAGGAAAATCCACAGTTTCTACCAATCTTCATATTAATGAATTTTGGTTTTGTCTGTTATTACAATACATATGACTATAAATCCTTAAGTTTCATACAGAATGTCCCCAAAGCCCAAAAAACATTGGACTCCTGCACATTCTTACAATGTCTGAAAAAAAGACCTTTGTGAAATTCAGTGGTGGCTGTCACGTATGTCTGAGAGAGCGCAAACTGAAAGAGGGTGGAGCCAAGCGATTAAAAGCACTTAATCTATAAAACAAGACTATAACCATCGCAAAGCATTGTATAATCTTTAAACAAATTCCTAGAAACAAATCCTCATGCTCTGCAAATTTAGACAAATTTAATCCCCTATCCATGCCTCAATTTTCTCATCTAAAAGTGGGGATATCTATCTCAAAGGGATGGCACATAATAAGCACTGCATAACGTTAGCTACTGCTATTAAAAGCTAATTTTGATAATTTTCTGTAGTGCTGATCCATTTCATTTCTCTGTTTTAGAAAGTAAAACTGCAGACATTTGGACCGTTTTGCTTTTTAATCAACATTAAAATTTCTAATTGGTAGGACAATGATAACTACTCTGGAAAAAATTCACTGCAGAATTCACAAGATTTTTAACAAAAATACAGATCAAATATCACATCTCTTAAAGACTGTGCCAATCCAAAATTTGATCAAAAGAAAGGTCTACTATTTAGTTAGTTTGCCTAAATTCCTGAGTTCAGAATTAAGGGTAATTTGGGATTATAATTATTGTCCTCCTTTCTTTGTAGCTTTCAGCAGCATTGAGGGAAGTCAAAATTTTAGGCTGTGTTGGCCTTGATATCAATATGATGCTAAAAATGACTGATAAGCAGTATTTTAAAAACAGCAGGTACAATCTGTGCTGAAGTATTACTGCCAAAATCAGGTTTTATGATATGGTTCAAAGATGGGCAGAACCTGTACCACTGCTATTCAGAGCTTGATCAGGTGGCATATGGAATTCTTAAGTTCCTCATTTCTCTTTGCACCCATCCATCTGAGGGTCTCAATCCTTTGTCACTGATGTACCACTGATATGCCCAGAAGTAGCCCTCAAATTGTGTTTGTTTATCAAACGTCAGAGGCATGTTTGAATCCTTCAGCCACAACTCTGTCATTGTCTCAAACTCAAATGCCTAGGACAACCAGGCAGATTATAAAAGTATGGAAAGTGAAAATAATGGTAACCAGGTTGCATGTGCCTCGTCTAACGAGGGTAACTTCTATTCAGCTTCAAAACATTATATTAGAGTGGGAATGCTGGCCCAATATTATCAGGTATTCTGACTTTTATCACGAAGCTAGAATTTAAGACTTTTACATAAAATCTTCTGATTAAAACATTGGCAACTAACTCAATTTTTAAAACATAATGTGAGCTAAACGAATATGCCTGTGGCTTGGTCTAAGTATTTTCTAATCCCCAGATTTCATGGTAGAGAACGCAACTTAAGTAGATATGTATATATAAAAGCAACTCCAAAAAAGGACCAAACTCAAAGCTTTTAATCTTTATAATGTCAGTTATTTGGGCCATTTAAGAACAGATAGTTCAGGGTTAATTTTCAAGAACCTCTTCCTAAGTAAAGTTCTAACGTCTCACCTATTCATCCCTTAAAAAAAGAAGTAATCAAGAGGATATCTGTTTCATACCACTATGTAGGTTTTCCATTTTAAAACTCATTTTAGCAAACTGTAATAATATTTTGAGATGCAAAAAAAATAGATTTTAGAAAAGTAAGGAGTTGAGAGTAATAATTTATTTCATAAAACTATAGCTTATCAATGATTTGAGATTTTTATGAAATCTATATTCAAAGTTAGAAAGATTCTTAGAAAGAGATTTAACTGAGGAATCTCACTCTTTGGGAAAGTCTTTTGAGTTAGGAATTTCTGCATTAGTGAAAACCATTCTATTCCCAAGATATGATTTCACAGACTTCCTTGTATGAGGACATCTGGCTGTAATACTATTAACTGCCCAAAGAATGGAAAACCGATTCCATTCAACTTTTACTCACTGTTTGATTTTACACACACAAACAACAACAAAACACTTAATAAAAAATACCACATATTATTACGTTTCAGAAAACCATTAGTGCTTCTGTAAGTCTAGAAGAAAGAATTATATGCCCTATGAACAGGAGGTTGTTTCATATATTTTTTTATCAGCTTTTTTATTTTTATTTTAATTTTTTCTGAGACAGAGATTCGCTCTTGTTACCTAGGCTGGAGTGCAGTGGTGCGATCTCGGCTCACTGCAATTTCCGCCTCCCGGGTTCAAGCGATTCTCCTGCCTCAGCCTCCCGAGTAGCTGGGATGGTGGCATGCACCAACACATCCAGCCAATTTTGTATTTTTCTTAGACACGAGGTTTCTCCATGTTGGTCAGGCTAGTCTCGAACTTCTGACTTCAGGTGATCCACCCGCCTCAGCCTCCCAAATGCTGGGATTACAGGCATGAGCCACCATGCCTGGCCTTCATCTGCTTTTTTAATTGATGAAATATCATTTCTACAATAAATACTAGCATCTTCCATAAATCATAGTAACATCTTAGATTATAAAGGGCTCTATTTATAGGTTTTCAAAGCATCTCCATGCTCATTACCTCCTTTCAAATATCTTCTTCACAATGGTAAAGCAGAACAAAATTAGGAGGCACATTTTAGAGACAAATAATCTAAAGTTTCACTTGCTAACATTCTTCAGTGCTTTGGTAATAATACAACATAACACAATGTGTTAAAAATTAAAGACAGAAAAGAATAGTGACTGATGGCATATGGTCATGAAATGTTTACAGTTCCTCCCATCAAGAGGTAGAATCTATTTCCCACCATTTAATCTGGGCTGGCCTTGTGACTTTCTGAGACTAATAGAATGTGGTGAAGTGGCACTATGACTTCTAGAGGCTAGAAGTCCTAAGAGATCTCGCAGCTTCCATTTCACTTTTTTGGAATACTTCCCTGAGACCACCAGGTAAGAAAGCCAGTTGGGCCCACTGGAGTATGAGAGAATTTAAATTGTCGGTTTTAAATCACTAAGTGTTGGGGTGGTTTGTTATGTTGTGATAATTAACTAGAGCAGAACTACGGCTCAAAAATATCAAATGACATGTTTAAATAGAGCTGGGACTCATGATAGGGAGGAGCAGTGTGAAAAGGGACACTGGAGCCAGAAAGATCTGGATCCAATTCACAGACCTGTCATTCAACTTCTCTGAGCCTCAGTTTACTCATCTGTAAAAATGTGGTTCTAATTATGTCTGTGCAACAATTGTGACAGTTCGGTGGATTCATATATAAAGGCCCATCTACAGATAAATGTTAATTTCCTTTCCAGTTCCTTTCCAGTCATTTGATTTCTGTTTCACCGTCTTTTGGAGACATAAAACGTCCTTTTCTAAATAACATTTTGTAAAAGAAAAAAAAAACAAAAAAATTAATATTCTCAGGTTTTCAAGCTTTGTTACATAAGCCCCATTAAAATAAGACTACAGTCAAGTTTTTAGATATGTGAGGCCAATTGTTGGTAATGGAGTGCTCTGGAAATGTCCACTTTATATAGGTAAACGCTTCCACTTTAAAGTTATGTTTCAAAATCAAAGATGATGCTCATGTTTTGTTTGCATAGACATGTATATTCTAAAATGCTGAAACCTCCCCAGCTTGTCCCCTTGCCCATTCCCAAATGAACTGTGACTATTGCCAGTCACTAACAAAAGGACCTCAGCATAGCCAGGAAGGCACCTGTGAAAACTCCCAGTGACCCAGTGCTGTCTCTCAGGGCACTGCCTGCTCCTCTGTAAAACCCCAGAGCCTGAGGTTCCCATAACATTATTTCACCATGGTACTTCTGATGCTAATGAAGAGCATCAAGGGACACAGCAATTTATCAGCCTTAAATCTATCCAGTGAATAACACTTATGGATTGATTATGATTTCTTATTAAAAAAAACCAGGCTTTTCTAGAAATTTTAGAAACACTTCCATTTTCAAAAAGAGAACCAATAAAATCAGTCTGAAATGAAATCTTTTGAGGTTCAGAGGTTAAAATAATACATTGGGAAAACTTATGCTCAGAATCTAGAATTTATTTATAATTCATTTCTAAAACTTTTCAGCCTAGTTGCAAGACAATGAAGTGAATAAATTTTAAACAATAATAACAGCCATTCAAAATACATTACATCTCCTGAAAAGTAATATTACATGAGCAAGAAATAGTCCCTTAAAAAGTTACTATATGTATAACTGTAGAACTTGTGGTAAGTCAGTATCTGTAAGGAAACTAGGAAACCTATCATTTTTTAAAGTAAATAATTATTAAATAATATAGATATAACTTCAAGGTCTTGATTCCTTCCTCAAAGACCAAAAATTAAAGTGTCATTGAAAATTCTTTCTGGTTACCTCTGCTTAAAAAATGATTAAGCCATCTTTGTTTAATATTTTAATTGCTTGTTAATAATTTTTGCTGCTTAAAGGAGCAGCAAAAAATAACACAGGAAAACAATGAGTTTAGTATAATGGATAAGAACTTTAAATTTCTATAGAATAACATAACACAAATGAAAAACAGAAAATAGTCTAGAATACTTTATTGTAAAGTTTGGAAAATTTTTAAACTTGGAACCTTTACAATTTGGTTCTAACCTATTTTCCACCCTCATCTCCCATAACTTTCCAACATACATCTTTTTTTAACAGCACTAAACATTTTGCTAAACCAAAAACATGCCAGGATGTTTCTGTCAACTCCTTGACTTTACCATGTGCTGCTCTCTCTGTTTGAAATACTCTTTCCTCTCTTCTTTTCCTGGAAACCTTGTACTCATCCTTCAAATCCCATTTCGGCATCATCATCTCACTGATGCAGTTAGTTACACTGCTCACAGCACTATACTCCTTTCTTTATAATGGCACCTAACACAATTTGTTGTTCCTTATTTGCTTATACATCTATGTGCCTATTTGAATGTAACCTTTTTGAAGTTAAGAACTGTCTTGGTCAGGTCTGTATTCCTATCACCCAACATAATACCTGCCATACACAGTGGTACTTATCAGGTGGTCTCTGCTGACCTCTGATCTCATTTCTGACCACTCTTTCTTGCTCCCTACGCTCCAGACTTACTGGTGTCCCTTACTCCTCCTCCAGCATGCCAAGCGAGTTCCCTTCCCAGGCATTATATACTTGCTGTTTTTCTGTCAGGAATGGACTTACCCTGACAGTCACAGAAGTAACTTCCTCTGTTCACTCCAGTCAAATCCTCTGCTCAAAGGAGCCTTCCCTAACTCCCCAAGTTTGAAGAGCCCCCCATCACTCTCTGTCCCTTTCTGTGCTTCAGTTTTCTTCGTGGTTTTTTTGTTTGTTTGTTTGCTTGCTTGCTTGCTTTTTGCCACTTGACATTATCTACCTGTTGGCTTATGTGTTAATTGTCTAGCCCCACCCACTTCCACTAGAATATAGTTGCCACAAGGGCATGGACTTTGTTTAATTCACAGCAGTGTCTCCAGCCCTAGAACAGGGCCTGCCAGAGAGTTGGCACTAAGTCAACCTGTGGTCAATAAAAGAATGATGTATGTTTTTGTTGTGTTGCAACTGTATAAAAAAAATCTATGAATATAAATAAAGACTAGAACATAAATGGGATGTTGTTAAAGTAATATGGGAGTCAAACCTCTTTTCGAATTTTTAATTGTGTTGATTTTATGATAAAAAGAGTTTCATTGTACAAAAAACAAGGGGAATCTTGCAGATGTGAGTGCCTTTTATCAATGTCTGAGACAGTTACATTTAAAAGGCAGGCAAAGTGTAGTCAGTGTCTATATTAACAGGATGCAGTGGTTCCTAAATGTGTTCTGAGGCAATTTTAATATTTATATTAAAGATATGATTTCTGTTATACTCTTCTGATCAATGACCAGTTAATATATAACATTGGACCAGCTTTTGTGTCATATAAAAGGAAAAATCTTTTACAGTTTCTATAGTTTGTCAGTAAATTAACTTACAGCCTATGGGGACTTGAAGTTAAAAAATGATCTTGCTAAGTCCTCTATTTTTTTCATCTTTTCCTTTTCCCTCCTAGATACATGCAGAGCTTTTAATGAACTGTTCCAGAAGAATCTATTCCTTTTACAAGAAAATTATGTAAAGGTTCTCTAAAAACACTAGTGACTGGTTTTAGTGCTTAATAACTCTGAAGGAAAGTTCCCCCTTCCTCCAAATTTCTCAGGCCGTCCTTAGGTCTTTGCTGGCATGTGTTCCCAGCCAGGTTCCTCACAGCCAGCCACTCTCTAACAGGCCCTTCAAATAATTGAAGACTTTTACAAAGTTATCTCTTAGATATATCTTCTTCTTGCTTAACATGTTTTGACCTGTCCATGGATTTTAAAATACAAATTCCAAGGCCGGGCGCGGTGGCTCACGTCTGTAATCCCAGCACTTTGGGAGGCCGAGGCAGGTGGATCATGAGGTCACGAGATCAAGACCATCCTAGCTAACACAGTGAAACCCCATCTCTACTAAAAATACAAAAAAAACTAGCTGGGCATGGTGGCACACGCCTGTAGTCCCAGGAGAATGAGGCAGGAGAATTGCTTGAACCTGGGAGGTGGAGGTTGCAGTGAGCCAAGATTGGGCCACTGCACTCCAGCCTGGGCGACAGAGTGAGACTCCATCTCAAAAAAAAAAGAAAAAGAAAAGAAAAAGTCTTAATATCTTAATATCTGTCAGCTCTTGGAATTCTACTCTATAAATACTTAAAAGGCAATACACAAAATATGTCTGTATCAGCAAAATGAATAAACCAGTAATGCTGATCCGTTACTTCAGTCACCTTGGTGATTCTCACATCAACTGCATTTGTGGGCATTTTTATAAATTGTACAACCTGAAAAACGTACACGAATGGCCGTTTCTAGTGTCCAGATAGATCCAGTCATTGCAGATAATGAAAAGAACATTACAGGATTACAATGAGAACTATAATCTTAACAATAATCCTGGATTATTTGGATTATAACCCTTAACAACCCAAAGAATTTTAAACTAGTCATTTAAACACTGATAGTCTCATATTCTTTGTCCAAAAAGGGGCTAAGAACACTTGTTCTGTCTCTCTCAGAGGCTCATTGAGAGGCTAAAATGGCATAAGGACTTGGAAGTACTTTGCAAAATACTATCTGGATATTGTTATTCTTAATTACAGAAATTTAATTTAGCATCATAGAATGTTCATATGTCATAATCACTAAATACAAGGTAATGTGTTGCACGTATGTTCAGAGAAAATCATCTTGCTTAGCAGTTTTATTTGAGCAACTACAGAAAGAGGGAATTTTAGACCTTTACTTAAAAAGTAAAAAATAGTTTCTCCCCTTTTACCCTTGGGAAAAACTATTTTTTACTTTCCAGAGGGAAAAACAGGAAAAACTATTTTTAATTTCAGAAATCCAAAATATCTCCTTAATCATCTAAATGGGACTCTACTTGATGCTATAACATCTCCTCTAGTTCTAAAGCAAAGTCCTAAATGTATTCAATTATGGATTTAATCGCGTTTCGTTTCCATTTTTAAAAATAGCCTTATTTTCAATACCATTACACTGACGATTTTCAGTTGGTGCTTGAATACAGCAATCATAGTCACTCTCTTCCCACAGCAGAGGAAGCTAGCTGACCACCAAAAATTCATGCTGCTTTTTCACAGAGAAGCGTTGTTTTTGGAAAATGACTACTCCATGGAAGACTTCATTTTCCTACCCCTTCTGCATGTGCTTTGACCATACAACAGGTTACAGAATGTAAGCAAAAGAGATGCACGCCACTTTCAGGCCTGGCCTGTGACAATCTCCTGCACCATCCTGCACATTCTCAGTTCCTCAGTGGACCAGCTGGATGTCAACTGCTAACGAGACCTCAGAAGCCAATGGTTAGAAGCAGTCTCTATCAAGATGACCGTGTAAACACATCTTTATAAACTTGAGTCCCCGAACAATCGCAAATCAGAGATACAAGATCCTCACCCCCTCACCCCACAACGATTCCACTAGATTTTATGTGAACAAAATTTAAGCATGTTTTGTGCTAAACCATGAAATTTTATGCTTCTATGTTATGGCAGCTATCAGCCGTAACTCTTATGTCACCTAAACTTTGTATGAAAACTAAGTATCTATTAGTCATTCTCAGAAAAAAAACTCTATTAATTGATTCAAAATACCAGATATATAAAATAAAATATTTTAAATTCTTGCTGTTGGCTAGTTTAATAGGAGATTCAGATTTCTTGTTGCCTAAGCAACAATGTCACTATAAATGAATGCATCTATGTTGTGGTTTTGAACTTCAATGCCCACATGATTTTGATTGGCTCAGAGGGCTTAATAGATTACACACTGAGTGGAATAAATAGTAACCCCTCTCTCTCACTCCTTATACCCAACAGTGATGGGCCTGGATTTTACATCTGGAGGAAGATAAAGACCAGATGCAAGCCAATTCTGCTATCTAACTCAAGAGGAATTAAGAGATTACAGAGCCAGGTGCAGTGGCTGAAGCCTGTAATCCTAGCGCTTTGGGAGGGTGAAGTGGGAGGAGTATTTGAGCCCAAAAGTTTGAGACCAACATAGCAAGACCCTCCATCTCTACAAAAATATTTTAAAAATTAGCCAGGCATGGTGGCGAGCACCTGTAATCCCAGCTACTCAGGGAGGCTAAGGCAGAAGACTCACTTGAGCCCAGAAGATCAAGGTGACAGTGAGCTATGATTGCATCACTGCACTCCAGCATAGGCAACGAAGTGAGACACTGTCTCTCAAAATAAAACAACAATGCAGCACACCAGCATGGCACATGTATACATATGTAACTAACCTGCACATTGTGCACATATACCCTAAAACTTAAAGTATAATAATAATAAAATAAAATTTAAAAATTTAAAAAAATAAAACAACAAAAGAAATTATACAGACATGTACAGTCCTCTCCAGATAAGGGCCAAATGTATATATCAGGAAGTAACTCAGACTGCTTGCCCAGGCTGCCAGATACATTCACACCTTTATAAATGACTCTCAGATAGATTTTGTAATTTTAAGCAGGATCACTTTTACAAAGATGGCTCGATTTTATAGCAAAATTTACATATTTCCTTTCAGGAAATATAAAAATGAACACTAAATATATAAAACGTTAAGAAGAAAATACAAACACATTTTAGAAGGCATTTTTCTTTGTAATATTCACAAGATGCTAAGTAATTGGTCAGACTATTTGAGCCACGTTTTCTCTCTTCACTTTTAAAATATTCTAGTACGAAGCTCTTATCCACAATAGAGGGATACTCTCACATATGTTTCAAATATTGAAGCTGAATTGGTTTTGCAAAAGTACGATTGACAAAATGGAAGGTAAAATTGTGCATTATAACTAAATGCACGTTTCATTAAGTTTTAGTAATTATGCATTTCATCATTAGCCATATAAAACTAATTATTAAATAAATTAGTAAAATGTATAGTCACTAAAAAAATTGAAAATATGATTCTATACAAATAAGAAGGCATGCTTGGCTGGGCCAGGTGGCTCACACCTATGATCCCAAAATTTAGGGAAGAAGAGGCAGGAAGATACCTTGTGCCCAGGAGTTTGAGACTATCCTGGGCAATATAGTGAGACCCCACTCTCCACAAAAAGGGGAAAAAAAACAAGTTTGAAATAGGAAGGCGTTTTTATACCAAATGAAGCCTGAGTTATTCTACACACTTACTGGATATTTAGATGCAAAATATAGACCATGCAAATTCAGTTCCAAGCTAAAAATGTAATTTGGTAAGTAGTATTACCTATATGCAGTAAAATCTTATTAATAGAACTAATTAAAAGAATACATGTTTTCATGACCTGGTGCAGTGGCTCATGCCTGTAATCCCAGCACTCTGGGAGGCCGAGACGGGCGGATCACCTGAGGTCAGAAGTTTGAGACCAGCCTGTCAAACATGGTGAAACCCCATCTCTACTAAAAATACAAAATTAGCTGGGTGTGGTGATGCGCACCTGTAATCCCAGCTACTCTGGAGGCTGAGGCAGGAGAATCACTTGAACCCAGGCAGCGGAAGTTGCAGTGAGCTAAGACTGCACCATTGCACTCCAGCTTAGTTGACAAGCGCAAAACTCCATCTCAAAAAAAAAAAAAAATACGTGTTTTCATGTATTATTTATCCAGCAAATATTTATTGAGTACTTAAAATATGTGGTCACCATACTAATGGCTGTGTATATAAGCATTTAAGTAAAGCTAAAAAAAATAGCTTTGTAAATTCAATCTTTACATTTCAAGTCCCTGTCTATGGTATATCATCTAAACACCCTGATTCCAAAGTAGGAGAACAAGGCAAGAGTCTGCTAAGAATACTTGCCATGGCAGCAAAATTTTCCCCAGGAACTGGAATGATAATAAAATTTTTGCATTAAAAAAACAGATCTTTCTTTCCATTAAGTATTAAGCTTCTTACTTTATTACTAAATGGTTCCTAATGTCATACTACGAGAATCAAGACAGTTGAATTCGTGATTAATTCATTTAAACAGAAGCCAGCTGTATTAATTGGAAGAAAATGCCCAGCCATTCTTGCTGGGCATCAAAGACAGTTAGACTGGAATGAAGTCAAGCTCTTAGAATAAATTAATGATGATTTAGAGGTACTCCTTTCAAAATTAAAGACCATCAATGTGCAAGAAGCTTCCCTATGCACAATTAATACTGAGTTTAAAAATGTAAGGTGGTAAGTGGTACTACCTATGCAGTAAAATCTTATTAACAGAACTAATTAAAAGAAAAGATAGACTGAGTTAGTGAAAACTCTCTATTACATTTTTTCAAGAAACCAAATTCTTTAAAATATACAAAATGATCGATTTCTGGAGTCTGATAAGAATAATACATATTTTGTAAGTAATGCCTTTGAAGAGCTTGAAAATAATTTTTCATTTATTTTATAGATTAAAATATCCTCTTACAATTTTGTTTGTAGTCTCAATGCACTTGTGACTAGTAGATTAACATGGAGGTTACTATACTGTCCCTAATGGGCTTTCCTGTGTCTCTTTCCTATGCCCATCCTCTTCCTCTCCATTCTGCTATGTCCTCTCCAATGCATCCAGGGTTTCACTTTCTTTCACAACTCCGATTGATTTTCTGTCCTAACAAGCCTGATTCCAAACACAGTTCTACAGGGACAAAGGTATAGAGAACAAACTCAATAGGTTGCTCATCCACGAAACAACAGGTGACATGGCAGAGTTAGAAAAACTAGTAAGGAGGCCATGCCAGGAATGAATGCAACAAACTTCTTTGAATATATATTCAAACATTATATTTAATATATATTCTCGAATGGAATGTATATATTCCATTCCATTTCCTAGTATGGAAAGAAGGTCTACCAGACAATGTACTTAACAAACTAAACTATTTTCCCATCAATCAATTTAAGAGGCTTCCAGAGTTTTTATATTCTCTTTTATTATTTCTGAGTTTTAAAACCTTCTAGTGATAAAGAATAACAATGGAAAATACAGGTTGTGAAATGATAAACCGTTCTAAGAAACAAAACCAATTCCCCTTCAATAAGTCACACACAAATCTCTTCCTTGGGAGAACAATGTAGACTGCTTTGTTACAGAGATCATCTCAGAGCCCAGCTAACCACGTGACATGTTAATCATTCTCTAAAGTTACATCAGAGGGCCACAGCCTGGTTACTAAGAACTGCATCCTCCAGAATCAAGGCATTAAGAAAGTCAGGGTGGGCAGGGCATGGCGACTGACGTCTGTAATCCCAGCACTGTGACAGGCCGAGGCAGGCGGAACACATTAGGTCAGGAATTCGAGACTAGCCCAGTCAACATGGCGAAACCCCGTCTCTACCAAAAATACAAAAATTAGCCATGTGTGGTGTCAGGTGCCTCTAGTCCCAACTATTCGGGTAACTGAGGCAGAAGAATCCCTTAAACCCGGGAGGCAGAGGCTGCAGTGAGCTGAGATCGCACCACCACACTCCAGCCTGGGCAACAGAGCAAGACTCCATCTCAAAAAAAAAAAAAAAAAAATTCTCAGGGTGATAACAGGTTCACTTTATTTAAATTAATAGATAAACGACTTTATGTTTTCATCTTTAATTAGGTATCATTATTTTTGCTTTATTGAATTTGGGTAATTGTGGCATGCTGAGGAAAAAGTATAGTAAGAAGAGAGCCCACGTGCAATTGAAATGTTTAATTTCCTCCAACAAGATCACTGTCCATAATGACACATTGATTCAGATAAATGAGAAGAAAGGCAGGTATCAACGAAGAAGTTTAAAAAAGAAGAAATCAATTATAATTATTTCCAAGTTTATTTACTTAAAAAACATTTATTGCAATGTGCCACATAGTGTGACGAGCAGTAAGAAAACTAAAGCACATAAGTCATGTTCCCTGACCACAGATAACTTAAAATCTAGAAAAGAAAACCAAACATGAAAACAAGTAAGTGCAATTTAAAGATGCTGAAATTAAAAGTTTAAGGAACAATTCACAGGCAATTCTATCTGAATGAGTACCTACGGGGACAACCTCAAACACAGCCTCACAGTACATGGCCAGAAGCAAAAAGCACAAAACAACACTGAAAATTGCTCCCAGTTCATGTAGGTTAGAATCTCAAGTTTAAGGGAGCAGTGACAAAATCAAGCCATGATTGTATCCGGGAAACAATCGAGGCTAACAAAGAGCATAATAAAACACTAACTCAATAGATTCCAAGAAGAGTCGGTCAACTATACTGAAAAGGTACAAACTTTAATCTCATAATTCTACTTAAATATATGGACAAGGTCACATGAAGGGCACTGAACCATGAGGTAGGAGGTAGGACCCTTAAGGTCTTGTGCAGTTTCCACGTGTTTATTCTAAGAATTTTGGGAGCAAGTCAACGTCTCTGGGTTTCAAGTTTCCTTTTTTAAAAAAACGTAAATGGGTTTAATGAAATAGCCTTCAACTTTTCATATTTGCAACTATCTTCCAAGATTCTCTCTTTGGGATTTAGAAATCTTATTTGTATATTAAAATATGAGTTTAAGAAGAAAGTAACTCTACTAGTTTGCATTATTTTTATGTGAATGGCTAAACCTAAAATACTCTCTGGCAGTTGGTTTTCCTAAGTGATTAAGTGCTCCTTTTTTAAACTTTGTTCAGAATATTTACAGGTAAACGTTATAAAGTGGTGAGCAGCAGAGGCTCTGCATTCAGCCTACCTGGGAGGTTTCAAATTTGGGTTCACCACCCAAATGAGTGAACTTGAGCACCTTCCTTAATCTTTCCTAACCTCAGTCTCCTCATCTTTAAAATGGCAATAATAACAGTACCTCACAGGACTGATGAGAAGAATCAAAACATATAAATGGTGATAATCCTATGAGATTTCAGGTTAATTTTGGAAAAAAATCATAATCTGTATGATTTTTGACAGGTGGTAACCCCTAAGTTACCAGTAACTCACTGCTTCACTTGACCTTATTTCCCCGACACCACGGCTACTATTGACGAGCAACATCCAATATGCTGATAGAGTAATGTCATAGAGAATCCTCAGCAACTCTGCCTTCTGGAAGAGCTGCTTCTGCCAATGACATCACAGATTGTTAGCTCAATATGCCACTGGCATATGGGTTCACTTTAAGTGGTGATAATAAATACCACTGGGCCATCCATTTACAGTCCATTTTGAGATCACATTACAAAGTAGCATAAGTCCTGGGCATGGCAGGAGGACTGCTGCTATTTTACCGTTCTTTAGCATGATTATGTATGTGCTTGAGAAAGCAACCACATAAAAAATGGGAACACGATCACCTAACAACCAGTATGTTAAAACTGTAGTTTATAAACCACTTATATACTTTACAGGACATAATCAGAGGAAGCCATTATGATTCCTATTTTAAAGATAAACTGATGTCCAATTGAGTTTCCCCCCAAGGGCACTCAATGAGATGTGGCCCTGGATGTGTTTTGGCTTCCTATTTTACATATTTACTGCCTGAGCAGAAGCAGCAGATACAGCCATCCTGGGTGGTGTCTGCTTTTTATGCAGGCATACATTCAAGATACTGGGGCAGGCCTGCTCTTCAGAAGCTTGGGCTCAGGCTATTGTTCTGTGTAGTAGCATGGAGGCCAGCTGCTGGCTTTGATTCTGTAGCCAGTTGTAAAAAGTGAACAAGATTTGCACAGAAGCAAAGTAAAAAGCAGCTTTCGTTGGGGACAGCTTGAACTCAATAAATAGCTCCATTAGTTTAAGGTGGCAGATATGCACAGGGAAACAGAACTCACAAAGGCAATGTTTCTTTCTGCCTTTACTAATTGGATCTAACTTCTTTCTGTAGTTACTGGTTAATAGGACTGGGCAGATGGTCTTTAGAACTGAAGCAATGTTAAAAAGGTTCATTTAGTCCATCCACCTGTTCTTAAGCTGAACCACTCTTAAAACAACCCAGATTTTAAAAATTATACTTCTTAAAATTTTTTTTTACCTAATTATAAAAGTCACATAAACTTATTGAAAATATTTTGGACTATACAGAAAGTTAGAAAGAAAAAAATTAAAACCACCTACAATTTAATATTCAAGATATGACCAATTTACATTGTGTTGTTTTTCCACTCAATTTTTCATGTGTATGTTTTTATCATTATTAAAATTAACTTTTTAAATCTTATTTCTTCTCTTAACATGATATGATGAGAATCTTCTTATATTCAATATTTTGAAAAATATTAATTTAAATGACTGCATTTTTCTCTCCTATGGGTATGCCAAAATATGTTTATCCATGTTCCTATGGTTTGAGAGTTAGGTTTATTTTGCTATTGATAAATAAAGTTGCAATGATCATCTATTTACATAAGTTGTTATTCATGTTCCTTCTTCCCTTCCTTCCTTCCTTCCTTCCTTCTTTCCTTCCTTCCTTCTTTTTCCTTTCTTTAATGGTAAGTAGCTAAGAAAACATCCAGCACCAACCAGTAAAGTCAGATTCTATTATAGGTTTCTTGTAAAAACTGTACAGTTAGTGAATTTTTTCTTACAAAAAATGCAACATGGTCACTAATCAAATCTAATGCATTGTATAATACAGCTGTCTTATTTTTTCAGTTTTTTTTTTTTCTTTTTTTGAGACAGGGTCTTACTCTGTTGCCCTGGCTGGAGTACAGTGGTACTATCACGGTTTACTGCAGCCTCAACCTCCCAGACTCAAGTGATCCTCCCGCCTCAGCTGCCTGAGTAGCTAGGACCACAGGTATGCACCACCAGGCTTGGCTAATTTTTGTATTTTTTACAGAGACAGGGTTTCGTTATGCTTCCCAGGCTGGTCTTGAACTCCCGGGCTCAAGTAATCCTCTCACCTCAGCCTCACAAAGTGCTGGCATTACACTGTGCCTGGCCCAATAGATTACATATGTCAATGCTTAGAATATGAAATCCTACAATGGATACAAAATCATTTTCTAATATCATCTCCTTCAAAAAGGTTGGTGGATCAATCTATGGTTTACTAAGCTTAGGTATTAGCCTGGTGCGTAGCTTTAGTTTAGATAATACTGATACCGAAAGAAAATAGTAAATTCCTAAGAATACAATGCCTTAGCAAGTTTGTCCAACCCTTGGCCCGCAGGCCACATGCGGCCAAGGATGGATTTGAATGCAGCCCAACACAATTTTGTAAACTGTCTTAAAACATTATGAGATTTTTTTGCAGTACTTTTAAGCTCATCAACTATCGTTCGTGTTACTATATTTTATGTGTAGCCCAAGACATTTATTCTTCTAATGCGGCCCAGTGAAGCCAAAAGATTGGATACCCCTGTCTTAAAGCAATGTGTTTTTTGTTTTTGTTTTCTCAAAATGTAGTATTCTTAGTAACAACAACAAAATCTCCTGGAATGCTTGTTTCAAAAGAGTCCTGGACCTTACCCCCAAATTACTGAATCAGATTCTCAGTGGGATCTGGAGTATCTATTTTGAGCAACATCCACTGATATTCTATCGCACACTAAAGTTTGAGAACAGCAGATGATTTTGTAACTAAAGTATACTAAGATCTTGTTGCTAACCATCAGCCTAAGGGTGTTTAAGCAGGTAACCAAATCCAATACGATTTGGGAAAAGGAATGTTTTAATAATTATTTGTTGATAGGCTGCCGTTTCTTAGGTCAGAAGCACTGTAAGAAAATACCCATCCATAAAATATTCTGCCACTTAACAAAACTTCTCTGAATCATTACTTACTGTTACTTGTTTAATTCAGATTAAAGAGGTAAATAATGCTTGCATGCCCAAGCTGAACCAGCTTCCTGTGTGCCTCAAGTTTCCTCTGGAATCTATGAGTTTCCCAGCCTCATGTCTTTCTGTTCCATCTGCCACATGCCACCGAAACCAGTGTGCAATGAGATGGCAGAGGCACAGGAGATCATAATGCATTTTCAGAGGTGATGTTGAGGACATCTTTTTGAAAAGCACAGAAAACATTACCAAGGTCTAAAATGAAAAGATGTTATCTTTTTAGACATAAAGACTGGAACTGGAGAGAACACCTATACAAAGAAACATATTTAGATGTATTAATCACACATAAGTACATTACTATATGGGGATATATAGGGTGACATATATAAAAAGATATGATTGAAAGAAAAGATTATTGCATATCAACACTATTCATCGTTCACAGTCATAGGTAGAAATTTAATTTGTTGAAACGTACTTCTCTACTCTTCTCAATTAATTACTGCTAATAATGTAATAATAATTGAGATGCTAAAGTAGTGCTTCTCAGACTTTAGTGTGTACACAAAGATCTTATTAAAATGCAGACTTTGATTTGTTAGGTTTGGGGTGGGGGCCAACATCCTGCATTAGCTTCATTTCTAACAAGTTACAGGTGATGCCAATGCTGCTCATCTGAGGACCACACAATCAAATAGCAAGATACTAAAGTGCATTTTTAAATCTATGTCTATTTTGCCATATATTAAACATATTTGTCAACCCTGTTGTTTTAAGAGTAACTTTTAGGAGTAGCACATGAGAAAAAAATGCTAAAATATCTCATTACTTCATAAACGTATTTGAGTTCATAGCTAGCTGAAATTACATATTAATGGTAATGCTTTATAATAGCAATCAATACTCCTTTTCTCCTAGCCTTGTGTTAGTCACTGGGTATTCACAGAACTGGCCTTATTCTTTTCTCATCCTAGTCTTTGATCCTCTACCTGGATACCTATCTCTGCCGATCAAAATTTTACACATTGAGAGTCTACTTAAATATTACTTCCTTCATGGAGTTTTTTTCTGGCAGCCTCAAAAAAATGTAATTTCCTCTCCTTTTAAATCATCATACTTTTCAAATAGATAAATGATTTTAAAACAGTGTCCTTTGCATATCTACAGGGACTTGGCCATGTACTGCCTTTTCACTTCCTTTTATATCAGCTGTTGATTCTCAAATCTAATTACATATTATGCACATGAGGAGACATATGAAAAAATACTGAGGCCACAGACCTTACTCCAGAACAATTAAGTCAGAATTTCTGAGGGCCCAGAATTTTTCAAGTTCCCCTGGGAATTCAAATGTGGAGCCACAGTTGAGAATTGCTGTCTTAGATGGTAGGTTCCCCCAGGGCTCATTTCAGTTCAATCAATATTTAATAAGGGTCTTGAACACAGTAAGCAATTAATAAATACACATCAAGTTGAACATTAAAAGTTGCCATATTTGTACACTGGGAAGAAAATGAAAGCACATCAATCAAAATATGTTATTATTCACAACACATTCTCTACAGATATATTACCAATAATAGAGCAAATCCTTCACGTAAAAAAATTTTGAAATTGCTCACATTTTCCTCAACTCATCTGCCATCAAACGTTCACTCTGTAGATTTGGATTTTCCATAAGACTGAGTCCAATTTACTTTTCCTTTTTCAGAAAAGCACTTTTCTCCTCTCTTCAAGTTGAATGGATATTAAAAATCATTAATGGAATTTTCAGCAGCAAACATACTGGAAATAATCAGCTGGCATCCAACGTAGGGCATACTTTTTGCTGCTGTCAAACAAAATTAATCACAAGCTTCCAGCATGCTGCGTAGAGGCGGCCTGGGCACCATTGGATGAGGTGTTTCCGTGGCGTGGCAGCCGTCGATGATCAGCAGGAGAGTCAAGCTGTTTTCAGAAAACACAGCTATGGGTGGCTTCTTTCCCTTCTTTTCTTTCTTCTTTTTAATTTCTAAGGGAGAATCTCCTGGCAATGCACCTAGGAGATTTTCTTGCCATGGAAACAAGACCGTATGCTGTTTTAAAAGCTGACTGTAGAGAAAAAATGCCATTCTTCTTGCTTTGTTCTACCTCTGGCCTGTAGTCTTCTGTAGAATACTTGGGAATTCTTTCTACGCTTCAGGCTGGCATCCTAGTTCCACCTGAATCACATAGGCAATCTAGGTAGATTGATTTCTCCTGGCTGCACAATCCCAGTGCATCTATTCTCTATTCTAGTGTTCTTTTTTTATTTAGTAGAAGTCTAAATTGCATGTGTCCAGTCAAGAATCAGAGCTCCTCTAGTTATTATTTTTTAAATAAATTAGCTGAGGAATATTTATGTGCCAGGTGTTGTGCAAAACTCCAAGAATCAAAAGACACTGTCCCTCAGCCAGACACGGTGGCTCACTACTGTAATTCCAGCACTTTGGGAGGCCGAGACAGGTGGATCACCTTAGGTCAGGAGACCAGCCTGGCCAACATGGTGAAACCCCATCTCTACCAAAAATACAAAAACTAGCCAGGCATGGTGGTGGGCGCCTGTAATCCCAGCTACTTGGGAAGCTGAGGCAGGAGAATCACTTGAACGTGGGAGGCGGAGGTTGCAGTGAGCTGAGATTGCACCACTGTACTCCAGCCTGAGAGATGGAGCAAGACCTCCCCTCAAAAAAAAAAAAAAAAAAAAAAAAAAGACACTGTCCTTGTGACAGAGTCGAGAAGAAAAGCAGGTCTACTAATGGCACAATATAATTGTCATACATTTTGTGATGAAAACAGTTTGAGTAGGGACACTCTAATATTCAAATATCTATAATTATAGCACCCAATAAACAATCTAAACACATAAAGATTAAACACTTGCTGGAGAGACAAGACAGCAAAAAAAAAAAAAAAAAAAAAAATTATGCCAAGTGTCTATTTTAAGGGAAAAAGTCATCCAAAAGTTCTATTAATTTATTACACTCACATTTTGGCTGAGTATTGCATAATGCATTGCTATTGCCTAAACAATTCAGAACCTCCGTACACAATTTAACTGAGGTGCTCTCACACCCTGTCCCCTACCCAAACCTCTGCCTGTAAGCAAATAGTTACAGACTCCTTCTAACTTTGAGAATATCTCATGCTCACTTTATTTGAACATCACAAAGACCAGTCCGGCAGGAAGAGAACAGATTGGCATTTGAACTTTGTAGCATTCAAAAAACATTGCCCCTCTCTACCCACCACCCCAAATTCCAACTGTATATGCTTCTCTGGTTTGCTTAAGTGACTCCTTATGTCTGGGTCTCTGAATCATCCCTACATGCTGGAGATGTCCTGGAAAGGGGATCTGGCTTGAGGACATAAAAATTGTTACAAAAACCAAGTTTTATTGTCTCTCTTTTCCATACCAGGTAACCCTGAAGTTATCATGAAGCCAGAGCTCCATCATTATATCTATAGGGTAATGGCAAAAGTGCTGGGGAGAGAAACACAGACAGTGGAGGGCTGAGTTTTTAGATGCCTACTGATATGGTTTGGCTGTCTCCCCATCCAAATCTCATCTTGAATTGTAGTTCCCATAATCCCCATGTGTCGTGGGAGGGACCAGATGGAGATAATTGAATCAAGGGAGCAGTTTCCCCCATCCTGTTCTCCTGATAGTGAGTTAGTTCTCATGAGATCTGATGGCTTTATAAGGGGCATCCCCCTTTCACAGGGCACTCATTCTTCTCTCTCCTGCTGCCATGTGAAGAAGGATGTGTTTGCTTCCCTTTTCGCCATGATTATAAGTTTCCTGAGGCCTTCCTAGCTACTGGGAACTGTGAGTTAATTAAACCTCTTTCTTTTATAAATTAGCCAGTCTCGGGTATGTCTTTATTAGCAGCATGAGAATGAACTAATATACCTACTCAAGGTAATTGCTCTTCTCTCTGATTTCTCTGGCCCTATGGTGCAGATTTTATTCAAAATGGGAAAGGAGCAGGGTGTACCACTAAGCCTGGCCAGATTGTAAAGCCCTTATAGCAACTAAAAGGAAGCAATGAATCCTCCTGGGGTTGAGGGTAGTGTGCAGGGGACAGAACACTGCGCATGTTAGCTGATCAAGGAAAGAATAAATCTGGATTAAGGAGAAGGTGGATTTGAGTTGAGTCTCGGAAGAGAAGCAAGCATTATCTAGGCAGCCAGGGTAGGCAACAGCCCGGGTAAGGCAAATTACATGGAGATGTTTATGAAGCCCTGCCTGATCTCTTGGTCTGAGTAGAGAACTACTACTGTGCATTTCTGTAGCACTCTCTAACAATATTACCATGGCCTTTATCACAGTGAGTTCTAATTGCTGTTTATTATCTAGCCTACTATCCCGTCTGCTGAATGAGGTTTGAAGCCTGCTGTCACACGCGCCAGTGCTTGTACCTATCCTGGCTGAAAAGGCATCGGGTCTAAACTTCTGTCAGCAACTATTGCATGTAGGTTTTGTTTTAAAATCAATGTGAAGTAATTAAATCATGTGCAGTCTATATTAGAAGCAGTAATTATTTTAGGACTATGGGATGGTTGTCATCTCAATTTAAAATGAACCCAGACTTATTCTTAGGGCTTTATCTTGTCTGTTACTTTGTTCTAAGTAAATCTAACTAGACATTCTTGACTCATAACTTCTCTGGGGTGTAATTTTCTCCTTTATCCATCACCATTACTGTCATCAAGATTTGATGTTATGATGGATACTAAGGATTTACTAAGCAACTAAACACAAGCATTTTGAATGTCTCGGGGGCTTATTGTTTTGGGCAGAAAAGACCAAGGCAAAATGGGATACTAATGACATATACCATAAATTAATTTAATTAGTGTTTAAGTGTTTTCAAAAGACACAGTGCATTTAATGGCAGCCACGAGTGAAATCAGGGAAGTCACACAAGGGAATAAGGTTGATGGATCTTTGCTGGAAGAAAATGTAATGTCGGGTGAACAAGCAGGAGTAGTTGCTACCCAACAAAATAAAGAGTGTTGGATTGGTTGGTTCCAAAGTTATACTGATAAGACTTGTAGGGCAAACTGATAGGCTGTCTTCCTGTCAAACTTATTGCTTTTATGATGGACCAAAACCAGGAAATTCAAGTAAGTACATTTGTGTTTGGATTCAAACTCAGAGTTGCCATGTCTAGTCAGAAGTAAAAGAAAAATTTCAAAGATGGGACAATGCATTTATACTTATTAATCCCAGAGTAAATTATGCCAAGTAATTTTTGGTTAGAAAATCACCACTACCCTTCTAATTAGGACTCATAGTTTCATGATGCAGACTTTTTTTTAATGATAAAGGTGGACAATGCTGGCATTCTAGGAATAGATCTCAGTAGAGTACAAAAAATAAAAAAATAAAAAGCTGATCAACTTTGTCTAGAAGAAGGGAAAATATACCAAGAAACAAGAGAAGCAAATGAAGGAAGCTACATTTTAATTTAAATTTGGAGAATATAAGATGTAACCTCTCTGAGCAGAAAGGCATGGAGCGGAGAGTTTATTCACCAGTTCTCTGAAATGTACACGCAGGATCAGGAACAATATATGCAAGTGGTATAAAGACTTCAGTCTTTTCACCACTTTTCACTGTGGACCAACTCTACTATGGGTGAAATGGCAGGTTGAACAGGACATCCCCCAGGACTTCGGATGAGGTTAACACAAGTGTTAACACAGAGGAGGATAATTCATAGCATGTTGTAAAGCTGGAAATCCCTATGCCTAGAAAACAAGAAGAAAGAAAGGAAGAGGTTCTTAGAGTCAAGCATGAAGAATAGGTAACTTCGGCAGCAGCACTACTGGTTGACTAGACTAATGCAGTCCTTGCGGGAGGCCAGGAGGACTGAATAGAAACTGTGTTAAAGGTACAAGTGGTGACTTAATAGATATCACTGGATAGTTAGGATCTGAAAGAGCAATGACTCACATGTGCCCCTGAGGTTAAAGAGAAACATTACCCTTTTGTGGAAAAGTTTAGTATCAATGATGGTGCAATAAAGAGATGAGCAGCTCTTTCTTGTCCTATTTAGTTTCATTTGGTAGCAAAATACTCCATTTAAGGTATCAGATAGCAGTGCCAAAGGCAAAAGGTAATTTTGGCTTTTAAAAGACTGATTGCAACATGGAACTCTTATGACCTTATGCTGATCTTCGTTGATTGGATTAGCCCGTGCTTTCCTGAAGTACACTTCCTCTTCTCTCCGCCTTCATGACAAGGGTTGCTATTGCACACTGTCCACTGTAGCCTGTGCTGGAGACCTGGAAGATGGCCTGCTCTAATTTGGCTGATTTGGTAGTTCGTGCCAATAAATTTTTAAATTCTACTCTCCAGGTGGCAAAGCTGTTTTATAACAAATTGCTCACTAATTAGGGCATAAATGTTCTTCTCTTCATTTCTCTCTGACCTTGTGCGTTCTCCTCTCCTCACTGATTACCTGCCCAGCAGCTCTCTCCTTGTTCTACAGAATCTCTTCTGTGCTTACCTCACCTTTTACTTCCAGGACTTTGATCCTCATTTCTAATTCTCTCCTCTCCTCTCTTTTCTTTTCTTTTCTCTTCTTTTCTTTTCTTTTCATTAGACAGGGTCTCGCTGTGTTGCCCAGTGCAGTAGCCCTATCATGGCTCACTGCAGCCTCAACCTCCCAGGCTCAAGCAATCCTCCCACTTCAGCTTCCCAAGTAGCTGGGACTATAGGCATGCACCACCACGCCTAGCTAATTTTGAAAACTTTTTGTACAGATGAGGGTCTCACTATGTTGCCCAGGCTTGTCTCAAACTCCTGGGCTCAAGCGATCCTCTTGCCTCAGCCTCCCAAAGTGCTGAGATTATAGGCATGAGCCACCATGCCCAGCTCTAACTTCCTTAATCTGTTCCGTCTAACATCTCTTATTTGACTTCATACCTTTTTTGTTTCCCTAAACCTAAAGTGGCAGTTTATTATCTTTATTGTCTACAGTTTTTGACTCTTAGCCATGTCATTTCTCTCTGTAATGCAAACATACAATCATGTGAGTCATTTCTAATCATTCTCTTTATCCTTATGTGATATCAACTTTACATCTGTAATCTAAAAATTACATTTAAGTGCTTCGCTGTACAATTTTCTAATCAAGTATTCAAATGGTGTTAGGTATTTTTATTTGCTTTTCATTATATGTTTTAAAGTTGAAATTTTCCAAAGTTTGTATGGGATGTGAGTTTGTATGACATTCACAACATATTCAATGGTACAAGCAAACAAGGGTAACATACGCTTAAAGATCCTCCAAGGACTTCCAGTATCCAAATCATTTAAACTTAACAAAGTCACTATCTTCATAATTTATATCATCACTTATATGCAGCACAGCAAGTTTAGACAAAACTAATTGTTTCCATTTTTGTGTATCTCCACAATTGTTTCATTGTGTAGAAGAAATTCACTCATAAGGGCAGGAAAAACTTATGTGCTCATCAAGGCAATAGTGATTGTTGCAAAGATGTGGCTATCAACCTACATCTTTCCAACACTCAGGGGGAAACTAATGAGAAAGAAATAAAAATGCCATAGAGAGAGATGCTATGTTTTGGCTTTCTTTGGGAATGGCTATCCAAATGATCCCAGGAACTAGATAAATAGACTTTTAAGAGCATCCTTAGGAAAAATGCCAGCATTACTGAGTGGCTCCGGGAACATAGTGACTGTGTGATCAGTATTAGCAAGAGTAAGCTTGCTCCACCTAACCAGAGAGAAACATGTGACTAGTTATTTTCACCTTGGCCATGTGGCCTGCCTGAAGTTTTGGAACACTAGCAACTTTAGACTCATGCTTGGGGCCACATATGTAAAGTGCAACCTAAGAAGAATACTTCTTAAAATCTAATATTGGCACACATGTGTGAGGAAATCATCTCTGGGGGCAAAAACATGAGCATGTTCTTTTTCCAGTCCTCCCAGGAGCTCTTCTACCTTCTTTGCCTCCAACCTGAAGACCTCTTCTTAGCTTTCGCTGTAACTGTAGATGTCATTCCAAGACTCTGTCCTCCACCTATGAGGGATTTTATTACTCGTGATTTCAACCTCACCATGCTGATGGTTCCTAAAACTCTATCTGTCCTGACCTTCCTCCCAAGTGTTACACTTCAAATGCTTGCTGGACTTTTCCATCAGAAACTTTAGGACCTACATGTGAAAATCTGGACCCAGTATCTTCCCCTCTGTACCTGCTCCTCCTTTACCATTAGCTAGGTCAGTTGCTAGTACCACCAGCCACCAAATCACCAGCACTACACACCAAGGGGCCATCTTGGACTCTTGTTTCCCCTCCGCCCCCTCCATTTCACTCCCATGTCCCCTCAGTGGCCTGAGCAGACTAATTTCCCTATTCTTCCTACACATACTGCTACATCTTAGTTCATTTCCATATCATGTCTCCCTAGCACTACAGCTCCCTGGGTAAAATCTGTCTCCAGATTTTCCCATTCGCTGCAGTCTCCAGAGTGACAAAAAAACATCTCGCCATGTTTTCCCACTTTTTTAAGCCTTTCAAAGTCCCCTCTGGCTACATAGCATAAAGTCCAAGCTCATAAACATGAGATACAGTCATCTTACACCTGCCAATGCCTCCAGCCTCATTTCTCACCTGTCCTGCTTGTTTTTCACTTCACAAACTAGCAACAAAACACTCACATAATGCTTACTATCGCCAAGCCCTATTCTAAGCACTTTATGTATGCTAGCTCACAATTGTCACAGAAACCCTATTAGGTGGTCCTGTAATTATCTCAGTGTTTACAGATGAGGCAGCTGAGACACAGAGAAGCTCAGTTACTTGCCCAAAGTTACATGCATACACACCTTGCATGCAGCAGAGCAGGTGGTCCCGTTCCAGAGTCCACGCTCTACTCAGTTTGCCCTTCTTCACTGGATGTGCAGGGCTGCTTTCACCACCTCATGAGATGGCTCAGACTCCACTTTCTCCCAGAAGTACTGTCAGTCACACCTGTGCCTGGCTCACTCCTATTTATTCTTTAAAGCTCAGCTCAGTCATCATAGCTTGCAGGAGCTCTTGCCTAGCCTTTTCTGTGCTCCTGTGATAGGCTATGTATGTTTCCATATCACAGTTATCATCTCACATAGTAATCATCTATTTATGTATTTGTTTGCCTTTATGAACCGTGAACTTCTTGAGACCAAGGAATATGTCTCTGTCATTTTTGTATCTTGTATTTGGCACGGTGTCTGGTCATTAAAAGGCATTCAATAAATGTGCTAAGTGAAGAATAAATAAATACATAGATGAATAAAAGGCACCCCACCAGTAACCCTTCGTAATAAGAGTACCATAGTAATTGAACTTCAAACACTTACAGAATGAGTCCAGCCCCTGTGGTCGGCTTGCAAAAACTGTAAGAGGCCTAAGAGCACGCTCACGTGCACGCCTGTGTGTTTTGTGGGGCTGGGGGGAGGAGGGGAGGGTACTTGAATCAAGGTAGAAAGAGACTAAAAAATAAAACTACACACACTGTTAAACCAAACACCTTTAGAGGACATATGTGTTAATGGTTCAACAAACCCAAATATTGTTTCCTCATAATATTTTTATTTCAACTACTTTTTTTGTTTTAGTTCTAATTAAAGATGGTCTTAAAGTATTATAAAATATATACCTGAACCAGGTGAAGCCATCTAATTTCCTGGGGACACCAGAGTAGTGACTATAGTAAAATAGTGCCCCATCCACAAATCACAGCTGAACAACAGACCTAGTTTGGGAGCACCGGTACGACAAGTTCTCATGAAGCAATTGATTAGTAAATATTGGGAAATTAGCTTTTGTGTAATAACGTTGTAGATAGAAGCTCAGTACCCCACTTGATGTTAGAAACATGGCTTGTGCTCACTGCCAAGTTAATCACAAGTCTCCTTCATGCAGTAGATCAGGGGCTTTGCTAAAGCTATACCTCTCCCAAAATCAACACTGAAATTCTCTCTCCCATTGCTAGTTTTGATTGCTCTTTCAGATGACCTGTAAGAAACAGGAAAAACACTTTTCTAGGAATCAAGTAACATGAGTTCTAGGCCCGTGTCTGCCACTAACTACGTACATGATTCTGGCCAAGGTGCTTGACTTCTTTGGGTCTCCATTTCCTTATATGGAATAAGACAGTTAGAACTGGAAATTTCAAGCTTTCAGCTCTAAAAGTTTATGCTCTAAAAAATGAAATTAGTATGAATCACACATTAAAGTCACTTGCATGCATACACACACAAAAGAGAGCACTCACATATATACTGATTTTGCAATAACAAAAATATTATATTTATTATACACATATAGGTGATATCTATATGTTCCTGTAGAATTTGAGAGGTGCTGTATTTGTTTAAATTTCAACTCTAACATTTTTGTTAGAAGTTCTACAGAACTTTCTAACATTTTTGTTAGAAGTTCTACAGAACTTTCTAACATTTTTGTTAGAAGTTCTACAGAACTTTCTAACATTTTTGTTAGAAGTTCTACAGAACTTTCTAACATTTTTGTTAGAAGTTCTACAGAACTTTCTAACATTTTTGTTAGAAGTTCTACAGAACTTTCTAACATTTTTGTTAGAAGTTCTACAGAACTTTCTAACATTTTTGTTAGAAGTTCTACAGAACTTTCTAACATTTTTGTTAGAAGTTCTACAGAACTTTCTAACATTTTTGTTAGAAGTTCTACAGAACTTTCTAACATTTTTGTTAGAAGTTCTACAGAACTTTCTAACATTTTTGTTAGAAGTTCTACAGAACTTTCTAACATTTTTGTTAGAAGTTCTACAGAACTTTCTAACATTTTTGTTAGAAGTTCTACAGAACTTTCTAACATTTTTGTTAGAAGTTCTACAGAACTTTCTAACATTTTTGTTAGAAGTTCTACAGAACTTTCTAACAAGAAAATTAACTGTCATTTCATGACAACGATCTTAAAAGTTAAAATTGACTTCCCAAAGAACAACACGGGCCATACTTTGCACAATCGTTTGGACTTTCTTGACGTAAGGGTGGTTGGTACTTTTTCACAAAGCACACCACCACAAATTGAGCTCCTAGAGTGAGGTGGATAAGCAGGGCTGGCAGGTGGGGAGGGAAGGGGATTTCTGTCATGGGAAAACAAAAGGTGGCTATGTGCACTGTGGAATGCAGAGCCCCTCCTCCTTAATCCTGGCTGAATCCTGACTGGCACCACCTGCTGTTATGTGTATGCTCACAGAACAATTGGCACCTGCGTATGGTAAATACGATTAAAACAGACACAAAAACCTGTCATCACGGTAAGTCACACAGAGTGCTCTTGGGAGAGCTTAGTGTACACAGAGATGATGAGGTAGGTGGAAGGGATCTTTTTCTGCTATTAAACTTGAAGCAAAATGTATTTATGTTATATTCTAAAGGGCTTCAAATTCCTAAAAAGAAAAATTAATGAGGAAAAATTTCTCTACTATCAATGCTAGAAATCTTTAACACCTGTAAACAATTCAGCAATTAAACTGGACTGTATCACTAAAATTTCCAAAAATGACTTCCACTGGGAGGAGAGTCATTTATACATATCTGTTAAAAAGCAAACACAACAACAACAAAAAAATGTCTTTTTATGTTTATGGAAAAATCAAATTTCAGTTTGATGTTTTACGTCAACTCAAAAATAAAACATTATTTTAAAATCAGCTTTCCATAAATAATGTGGGATTTGAGACATCAAATGAAATAAAGAAGCAGGAAGGTGGTTTTTTTTATTGCAATCTAAATAACTTCAAATGTATTTAGTTGGACATTAGCAAGAATTTAAACAAAGTCTACTAAAAATAGTCCTGAGATCTGTTTTCAGCCTCACTTCTAAACTCACACTAAGAGTTCAGTTTCATTATCTTAGAATTTAAAAATGTATTTGTATGAGATAAAATATCATTTTTCATAATTCAGCTCTTTGAATTTTACATTTGCTGTTAATTCTCAAGTATTTTTCAAATTAAGTATAAAAATACCTACCTATAACTGCCAGCAGACTAAAATAATCTGTTACTATTATCATGCATGTGTATTACTATTTATAAGCTTATTTGGTCTTCCGTCTTCTACCAACTGAGAAAGTGTCCACATAAAATATACTAAATGTTTTCTGATTGTGGCAAAAAGCAATTCTTTTTATAGTGGAAAAGGGCAAATGCACATCATTAAAGAAATGCAAACCTTGACTAGACACAGAGAAGAAGGCAAATTCAAGTACCATATGTTTTCTGAGAAAGCAATGCTGAAATCCACCTTTCCAAGAATTTCTTATTTTAATAATGATTGTTACCAAGTATTCTCTTATCCACAATGTTGGCTGCAGGTATGATTTGAGAGCCCTTAATAAATGATAACCAAATGCTATCATTTAAAACACATAACAAATTTGGTGGTAACTTTTTCCATTATTTAGCAACACCCAAAGAGAATATTTGGCTCAAATACACACACTCATACACACACAGAGATATGAATATATATTCTACTGGATATCTTTTTACTAAATGTCATATTCAACTTTAGAATTTTAGATTCCAAATAGATATTACGCTGTGGAACATGAATTTTCAGTCAGCTATAACACAGGCACTTATCATCTGTCACCTAAATTGATATTAGCACCTCATTTCCTCAAGGTCATTTTAAGGTCAACAGACATAATTCCTTGTCATCATGATAGGCCCAGGGAAAATAATCAAATTAGTACAGTAATGTAGACAGAAAAGGCAAAATATTAATCCTATTATCAAATATCAGAGCTACATAGCCTATTGGACAAATAGTCAATAAATGTTTACTAGACAGCTGTGCTTGAAAAGGTGCAAGGGATCATTCTCACATACAGTAAACATTCAGTATACTGAAAGACCTAGCCAGCCATATCTGCGTAAGTATTAATCACTCCTGTGATGTAATTATTGGTGTCAAAAATGTTCTAGGAGGTCCATGTGGAACCATATATTCTTAGTGTATTGAATTATTCAAAACTGTTTACTTCTGCAATTCATAAAGTATATAATAACCTCTACCTACAATATGGCTCTTCTGGATGGTACAAAAAAGTGCAGAAAATCTTATATGAATATACTATAAAAGAGTGATATGTAGTCATACAGAAATATACAAAGAGCTATACAGCCAGAAAATTTAAGAATTTAATGAGATCCAAAATCATTGTTCATTGGTCACCTTGAAATAAACTTGAGACACCAATTCAAGCAGTAAAAATTCTAAAATGCACATTATTATTACTTTCATTTTAAAATATTAAACTGAAATGTACATGATACTTAAATTATAGATTAGGCCATATCATGATGGTCTCCACATGACCCTTGACACCTGAGTTGGAACAAAAAACTGCCAATAGATCCTGACATAGAGAGTTAAAAATCTACCCTGGGGAGAAAGAAGCCTGTTTGAATGTTTGGAAATTTAATTTATGGCTTCTAAATTAATAATTCTGCTTTAGACAAGAATCCAAACCCTGTACAGGGCATGGCCTTAGGTTTTTAGAATGAAGACAGTGTATAATAAAAAACTTTCTATGGCAACAGCAATTTTTTTTTAGTTGCTTTTCAAAATTTTTTTAATTTTTAATTTGTGTGGGTACATAATAAGTGTATATGTTTATGGGTTACATAAGATATTTTGATACAGGCATGCAATGCATAATAATCACATCAGGGTAAACAGGGTATCTATCACTTCAAGCATTTATCCTTTGTGCTACAAACAATCCAATTATACTCTTTCAGTTATTTTTAAATGTACAATTACATTATTTTTTACTATAGTCATTCTGTTTTACTAGCTAATACTACATCCTATTCATTCTTTTTAATTATTTTTTTGTGCGCATTAAACAACAGCAGTATTATTGAAGATACTTCAAATATCCAGGCAAATATAAATTGGAGTATGGTTATGGCAGTTTATCTTTTTTAAAAAATCCCCAAAGTTTATAAGCCATTTCCAAGAGCCTCATATCTAAAACTCAGAATAATGTAAGTGCGTGTGTACGTGTGTATGTAATTTTTTTAAATTATTGATGTTGTTATATAAGCAACCTACAAAAATTATCTCCTGACAGCCTTTTTGAAACGAAAAATTAATTGCTCCACAAAGGAAAACATACTTCCTTTAGCTAATATTCTGCTCATTTTGACAAACTATAAATAAAGGTTACCAAAAATAGTCATCCATTTAAATTATTACTGGGAAAAAGCAATCAGGGGAGGAGCTTTAGTCTCCCACTGGATGAGGGTCAGTGATTCAGAAAATTATTCCAACAGTAATTTTTTATCTGATCAAGGCGTTTTGTTACAGTAAGTGTAAGTTCCCCAACCACACCTAACCTGTTGCTAGTGCTCAAGAACTACCTTCACAAATCAAACATGGAAGCCACTTGGGGCAGGGTCATCTGGAAGAGGTACCAAGGTTCCAGATGGAACAGACCTCCTACCCATCCAAAAAAACAGTTTAAAGCACCAGTTTCTAGATGGGCCAGTAAACAAATGCCTGACTGCCCCATGTAATAGGCCAATCAGTCCTACTGGTTCTTTAACAACTGGAAAGAGGTCCCTGCTGTGTAATGAGATTATGGAGCACATGATAGATTAGTGACCTTTTGAATTAGGACAAGCAACATGAACTCACTAACAAATTCCCCCTTATATTAGAGAGGCTATGCTAAGGGTGTCAGCCATTTGACAAATACAGTTGAAGTGCAGATGGAAATACCAACTATAAAGCTTCATTCTTCAGTGTTCCACAGCTGAGTCTGAGAATTCACATCTGGCTTGAATATTCTGAAAGCATCTAATAATCTTAGTCAACAACTACATAAAAAAACTTTTCTAATTTGGATTTATACTTCTGTTTTAAACCGTATTTGGGAAAAAAAAAAAAAAAAAAAAAAGCTTTTTAGATTCATTGACCAATTGACCAATCAGCGAAGGCATATGAGTGAAACAGGTTTGGGACATAAACAAAACTCCTATTTCTTTAATTCTTAATCCTATTTGAATTGTGTAAAAGATTGTTGTATTCACATAGCACAGGGGTTTGGAGATAAGCAGAGTGGTCAGTTTGACCTGGGATAGCTCGTTTAGGAGCTATGTAGATTCAAGCAGGAAGGGTTTTTTTAAACCCATCTGGACATCAGTGTCATCTTTAATATGGAATCATAAACTATCTACTCATCACGTTATTGTGAAGATAAAATTAGATAATCTATGTAGAACTCTATGTAGACTGGCATGTAGATATACTAATCTCTCAATGAATATTAACTACTATTTATTATTATCATTGAAAAATGCAATTCCAATGGGATGAACTATTTTTTCTAATAAATAATTTTTCTATAAATAAATTGTTCCATTTATTTAACAAAACATCATGTGTTCAAACGGGTTTGATTGAGGTAGACTTCATCACAATGCCACAGAAGACCCCTATTTGACTGTCATTCTATTAGTATCATTTCCCCTCATATGACCTTCTAAAAAGGACCAGAATTCCTTCACACATTAGGAGATAAGTGACTCTGGGATAATCGCAGTGTGTTAATTTTGGTAACGTAGTTGGGTGTGCACACATCTGGCAGTACTCTGCTTTGCTGTGTCAGTTTGATCAGCTACTCTCTTCAGTTAAGAATGAAGTGTATGCCTTTGACACTAAATGAAGATAACTGGCTCTTATGGGATATTGGTGGCTAGATTAGCACTATGCCCTAAATAGCTAAGCATTCAAACCAAAATCCAGTCACCACTCATCCCCAAACCTCAGTATATGAACTTATTCTGAGTCTTGGAGTATAGTAATGTGTTACTCATGAACATTTTATCAATGCTATTTAAATGCTCTTTTCAGAATAATCTAAAATTATGGAAACAAATGGCTAATTCACATTAAGGCTCTTCATAGTCCCTACTATGAATCATAGACTGTGTGGAAAGTGTTGCCAATTTCTGAATTCTCAAAGTACAGTCTCTGTACTTTATTGGGACAGAGGAATGACCTATAAGAATGCCGTATGAACCATTATGATAACTCTTTCCTCTTCACATTGAACAGAACTGATGTTTATAGGCTATTTATACAGTCTCTTTTGAACACCTTTTCTACACAAATGATAATATGTGGTAGATCAAGCCAAGAATAAATCACGTAGACAATTATTAAACATATGTACTATAGTTCATGGCAACAACATATACATAGATCAAATTCATATGTAGGGCTAGTCTTCTGAATTTGACTGACTTCACAGAACACTGAAAGTATTTACTGTGTCAACTTTACAGAAAATACTATTTAAGCATGCCAGGCTATACACAATCTAATACAAGTTTAACTGAATGGGAGAACATTAAAGCAGACTGCTGTAATCTGAATGTTTGTGTCTTCCTCAAGATCCCTAAGTCGAAATCTAATCACCAATGCAATGGCTTTAGGAGCTGAGGCCTTTGGAAGGTGATTTGGCAATGAGGGCAGAGTCTTCATGAATGGAATTAGTGCCCATATAAAAGACGCCCCAGAAGGCTGTCTTGCCTTTTCCACCATGTGAAGGCACAGAGAGAAGGCATCATCTGTGAACCAGGAAATGGGGCCTTCATCAGACACCAAATCAGCTGATGGCTTGATCTTCAATTTCCTAGCCTCCAGAACTGTGAGAAATAAATTTCTGTTGTTTTTAAACTACTCACTCTAAGGTACTTTGTTATATCAGCCCAAAAGTACTAAGACAGACATTCACATTAATTTAATAGCAGTATGAATATCTCTAGCAGTTCTAATGGCATCTCTAAACTACTAAAATAATGGAAAGTATCTATACTTATTCTAATTTCTTTCCTTCCTGATTTTCATTTTAAATTATTGGCCATTGGGTGTATTGCCACCCCTCTGCACTTATTACAAGACAGTGCTATGGAGTAAGAGAGAAAGGCATCCCGCCACCATACCCTCTGAATTCTGGGCAAGCATTTAGAACATCTGAAAAAGGGATTCTTTAGGGATAAGCATTATACAAAAAGAGGACCAAAATCTTGACATAGAAAATACTAAATTTCTCATATATAGTTCTCCTAATGTTTTGAATTTAAGTTTTCATTTTTTTTAAACTAGAATACCTCCCACCTAAACTGGGCTCAATTGGCCACATAGAAATACTTATTATTAAGAATGTTGTCAAATATTAGAATTACAGTAACCATTATATTATTACATTAAAATACTTATAAAAAGGTACCACTTACTAGCACTGGGTGAAACATTCTAGAATGGTTCACAATTTCTTTTTAATTTCTTCCCATTTTTAGTATCGACACAGACCCTAACACTTAGCTCTGTTTCTATAGTTTTATTTCAAAAACACCCCTTTATTCCTTTAACTATGTGTGTTCTTTGAAGTGGCACTGGCTATAATTGTGCTTATTTTGTAAGTAGGATGTGAAAGGTGGCCAGAAGTGAAATGGTTGGTCATGAGTCACTCTGTTTGCCAGTTAAAATGGACAAAGAAGACTGCACAGAAACCTGTGGCCAGACCAGGAAATGGAAAGGAGGGGAAAGTCTCAAATTTCTTGTTCAAGGATCTGAAAATCCAACAGAAGATCCAGAGCAAACTCAAAGTCAGCCTGCAAAGTGGACTACCTTAGTAATGTTATACTAGCATAACATTATGATCACCAATAAAATAAAAACCCAAAGGGACAAACCAGTTTTTAGCTGCTATGCAAAGTATTATGAGTGCCTGTATAAGTGTTATAGATAATTGCAATCCTGGGTTATCCATACCAGCATCTCTTTCAGGTAAAGGCAGAAGGCTGAATATTTAGATACTTTCAAAAATTGTCCCTACTAGATTCGAATGTCTTGTTAATTTGGAGGCTTACTTATTGGAATTTACTACTGATTGCAGAAATAATCTATAAACAGAGATATGGGGCAAATTTTCACAGGTAAAATGAGTGATTAAACATATATATATATAATAGGAGAAGGACACAGGCTCAGTCATCAAAACAAGATGGATTCCAAAATGCAAGCTGCAGCTGGCTAAGGCTGAAAGCACAAGGACAACCATGTCAGAGTCCACTCACAATGGTTATGGCTCTGCACTGCAACAAATCACTCAACAGTTTCCTAATCTTTACTGTAATTTGGAATTATATGCCTGAGGCTGTTGCATCCAGAATGCCTGTGTATCCCCTTCCTTTATACTCACACATTAGCCATAACTTACGGCTCTGTACTACTGTTCACCCACTCATAGGGTTTACTCTTCTAACAAAATTACACTGATCTCTTGCCCTTCTACAGAATCCTGTAGAGTTTCTTTTTGGCAATTGCACAACATATTTATATTTTACTTATAATATGTGTGAGTATACCTATAATATTTCTGTAGATTGCTCATTACTTTTTTCTTAGATAGAAATGTCTGCTCAGATTATGAATTCCATGTAAGTGTCAATCATTGGCTTTTAGCCTAGCCATGCCATAGCACCTAACACAGTGCTATACACTCAGCAAACCAATACCAATTGTTGAATTGGGGGAACTTTCCCATGTGTTCGGAAGAAACACCTAAATTAAACTGAGCAAAACAAGCTGATTCTTAGAAACTGAATTTCATTAAGCAAATGCTAGAAATCAAGGTCTTTGTCTTAATGACTACAAACACAAATTAGTGTGTGGAAGAAGATGATAGTTGTCTGTGAGTTAACAGAAAAACATGAATAAAAACCAGGTCTCATGACTAAGAAGATGCTCACCCTGTAGACTGTGGTATATTATTATCTAGAACATATTTTCCCTTCTCCCTGCAGCTTTTTAAAAATGACCCTCCCTACGGGTTGGGATGTAGGCATGAATTTCAAAGAAAAAGAAATACTCTATCATATTTATTTGGTCTCGAGTACATAAAAATTTAAACTTTTTCTATCAAAAGATTGTCTCCCTGGGTAGCAATCCCATCTCTGCTCTATCTAGTAAAAGGAAATTGAAATGGTAACTTTATTTGTTGTGATGTATCCGACCAGTGTCCAATGAGATAAAAATAGGCAGTGATTTTGTTTCTGCCTCCAACAGGAATTAGAACAGAGTACAAGCAAGACAGAAGTAAAGCTGTAAGCATATTTATAATTTAGCATGCTCTGAATCAGGACAAGACAGAAACAAATACAGATTAAAATTTCAAGTCTATTTTAATGTGCAATCAAATGTCTCTTTAGAAACTTTATCAAGAAGGAAAAAGAAACCTCCAACACTTCAGAAAAGAGTGTATGGAAAAGAACTTTTAATAGAACAACTACTGAGAATATCATACTAACAAAATTTTCTCAAGAGAATAATTAGAGCTAAAATGGTGAAAGTAGGGTGAACTTTTTATGGTGGCTTAATTTAACATGCCTAAGCCACATGAAGGCAGCTGTTTACTTAAGTTTTGTTTCTTACATTTTTGTGAATTTTCAAAGTCCAACATGTTGTCTACATGGACTGATGGATACATCTACAACAACATAGCACAAAACATAATGGAAGCAAAAGAAGTTTCCCTTCTTTTGGGAATGCTGCTTGGGAGAGTATCATAGATAGCCATGAAAGAAGTTACTTTTCCATGTTATTCCCATAGATAAGAGTGAGCATTTTTGGAAATGTGATCAACTGACGCAAAATGGCAGCAACACTGGAAGGAAGAATCAGGAGGATATCTTAGAAGATAACCACAGAATCTTTGCAAGAGACACAGAAGACTACCTTACACCTGGTTTCCACAGGAGAAATGGCTCAAAATATGTTATTAGTTGAACAGTAGGAAAAATGTCTATGGTCTCTTCAGCACCATCTGTATGTAGTCTCTGAGTCTCCAGTTTCTCATCTATGAAACTGGGATAATAATATGCAATGAGAGTTATTCTGAAGATCAAATAAGATAGCATGTGAAAGCAGTTCTAGATTCCAGACATAAGAGTAAGATTAAAAGAAATGTTGTTCTCAATTTTCTTGTGTCATTGCTGCTGCCATCTAGACTTAAACAAATGTTACTGTAAGAGCCAAGTAATAAACTAACACATCTAATCAAAATTAAAGATTCTTCTTTCTAAGATAACTCAACTTCATGACTGTTGACCACATTCTAAGGCAATGGTTCCATTCATTTATTTATTTATCTATCTATTTATTCATTTATTTATTTATTTAGACAGTCTCACTGTGTCATGCAGGCTGGAGTGCAGTGGCAAGATCATGGCTTACTATGACCTCACCCTCGGGGGTTGGGTGTCCCCAGCAGTCCCCAGTAGCTGGGACTACTGGCATGTACAACCATGCCTGGCTAATTTTTTATTTTTATTTATTTTTTTAGATACAGGGTCTTGCTATCTTGCCTAGGCTGGTCTCAAACTCCTGGGGTCAAGCAATCCTCCTGCCTCAGCCTCCCAAAGTGCTGGGGTTACAGGTGTGAGCCACTGCACCTGGCTAAGACAATGGTTCTAAACTTGAGTATGCATAAGAAAGAGTTGGGAGCCTGTTAAAAATCCTCAAAGGTTCTGATACACAGCAGGTCTGAAGTGGGTCCTAAGAAGTGAATTATTTTAGCAGACAACCCAGGTAATTCTGGTAGTTGAGGTCAGCAGACAGCACTTTGAAATATGCTGCTCTAAAAAGGATAAATTAGTTATTACTAAGACATGAAATTATCAGTGAAAAAATTAATATCATAAAAGTGAGTAAATAGAAACAGAGAGGAAGACATTGAAAGAAAATCACAGAATACCAGGTTATAAGGTATTTTTCTTTCCAATAAAAATTTCCATCATCCCTGACAGATGGTCATTTTAAATACCTTCAGTGATGGGGAATTACTGTCTTCAGGCAACACATGCTATTTTGGGTTATAAGTTGGTATTTTATAAAGGGCAAATGGTAAGTTATTTGAAAGACTGAAGAAATAGGGATATTATTCAGAATAAATTATACATGGAAGCCTGTCTAGATATCAGTGAACTAGATAAGGCATCAACTTTAAATTCAAAATTAATTGACTCCAATACTATTTGGACACCCAAATGTTGGATCTACTACCTGATTTCACTAAAAAGGGCATAGTTTCTTTGGCTGCTATAAAAATAAACCTTTTAATATGTACCTCATTCACATTTCTATGGTACAACATTTTAACCACACATCTGGCAACACTTTCCTCCTTCATCTCTCTATTTAGGCAGTGGCCTAAACAGCCATTAAATATGTGTGTGTGTGTGTGTGTACCTTCAAAATATTTTGCAATGCTTATGAATATCTTAGTGATCCAGATCAAAGCATCTTCAATAAATATAAGGTATCCTATAAAGCCATTTTATCCTACTACTCTGTTGAAAATAATGGTGCTGATATTTTATTTTTATCTTCATATCATTATTCCACTAAATGGGAAAAACAGTTAGTAAACCATTTACTCATGTACTTGTTTTAGAAGAACTCACAAGCCTAGTGGTTTCAGATGGCTGTCACCTGTGATTGATGCTTGGGCATTCCCATTTCCAATTATGTAAATTACCAAAATCTCCTACAGCCTCTTTTAGTATAAATCCACTGCTATGTTATTGCTACAAAATTGGAAAGTGTGTGGAGCTGCACACAAAAATATGGTCTTGGATTATTTTAATCTAATCTGTCAAAATAGTGGAATAGTGGAATAAGTTTTATAGTCTCATGCCTGTAATGCCAGCATTTTGAGAGGATGAGAGAGAATTGCTTGAGACCAGGAGTTCAAGACCAGCCTGGGTTCCTTAGGGAGACTGTCTCTACAAAAAGTTAAAAAAACAAAAATAGCCAGCTGTGGTGGCACATGCCTGCAGTCCCAGCTACAAGGGAGGCTGAGGCAGGAAGATCGCTTGAGCCAGGTGGGTTGATGCTGCAGTGAGCCATGATCACACCACTGTACTCCAGCCTGGGTGACAGAATAAGACCCTGCCTCAAAAAATATAAAAATCTTTATAGAGTTGTCTGGGATTTAGAGTAGGCTCAAAGCTGTCTTACACGGATACATTTCACATAGCTACCAATGCTTCTTTTTAGTCCTGGATTCCAGTTGAGAATTAGAATAGCCCCCATTTCCTCTTCGCCACTGAACCACCACTAGAACATCAATCCCAAATCTGCACCTTGGGCAATATCTGTTAGTATGAAATATCTTGGCCCTAAGAAAACTTTGTTGGAAGTATCAGATGAAGGTTTTCATGACTACTTTAACAACATTACTACCTACAATTTATTTTCTTTGGGTACTAAAGAGTATCCAATAATAAACAAGTCTTTCTCTCTCTCTCCAAAGGTATCTTTGTGTTCAAGCTGGAGAATGAGAAAGGCAGCCACTGACCCACAGGAGGGGGCCTGGTACTATCAGCTAGGCCTCAGTGTTCTCCTATTGAACATAAAAAATTTCTCAAAGCATCAGCATCAGACAAGGCCACTCTGACCATGACAGAGTAAAACCAAAACAACACCACTCCCATATCATGTCTGAACACAGACAAAACAAAGACGTTGTCCAAGACACAAAATACCAAACATCTCCCTCTCTTGCCAAATGAGATTACTGCCTCCTTACAACTATAGCTTTAGTAACGCTCTAGCCTGTTCTCCTGTAGATAAGACTTACTGGGATACACAATCGTAGAATTGTTCCTGCTTTCTGGGAGTACCCCATCCCCAGAGTGAGCCACCAGTCTCTTGAACCCTCTTTCAAATTACTCAACTGAAGCCCGTATCCTGTGCATTCTTCCTGGCACCCGTTTACTGAGATGCCCCCACGGTTCCCCATGATGTGTATCCTCCTCGCGGCAATGAGTCATAAACCCATCATGTTCAACCACCAGTGTACTCCTTGTGGTTTCTGAGTGGAGAGCACCGACAAGCTCCCTTACTGAAGCCAAAATAGACAACCTTAAGTAAAGCTCAAAGAATTTCTATTCTCAACACACTCAGTAAAATTTTGACATAAATAAATTCCTCCTTGAGCTTGTTTTCTCACATTGTAGGTCTGGTGGCAAAAGACCCTTTAGCTCTGTCCCTCAGAAGAGGTACTTTTGGAAGGTACAGAATAAACAAGTAAATTACAGCCCATCTGTTACGTATTTACTAGAGATAGACGCATGATTTCAAGGAATATGATTCAGTAGGATAGATCCACACCCAGGCCATAGTGAGCTTGGTGGTCCGTAGTCCTGGATGCTTAAGTAGAATCCCACAGCAGATTCAATGTAAACCTCTAGTAGAAAAACAAACAACCGAATTGAAGTGATGTGACATTGACTTTACTCCAATTTTTGCTTTCTCAGCTTTTATGCTTATTAGGGATACTTATCTCTTTATCATTAATGTCCTCATCAAGGCACATTTAATGGTCTAGTGTTTAAATATGAAAATGTAAGTTTCTTGCTGTGCAAAATAATGTGAAACAATAATATAAAGACCTAAGGTACATTTATGTAAATCTCAATGATTTTTTGAGATAAAAAAGTTTCCAATTATAGCATATAACTTTTGACATTTTGAAAAATGACTACTAGCCTTTGCAAAGCACCAATATTGGATTCTGTCATTTCTGCCTCTCTCAAAAGTATAAACAGATTTTTCTCTTAAAAGGCTTATTGCAATAAACAAATTCCATTTAAGAGAATAACACCTGAAAGTTATTGCCATTGACTATATGTTTTAAATACTGTTCAAATAATCATATATACATTATTTCTAATCCTCATAAAATATTCTATATATAATTATTCTCATTTTACAGATGAATCCCTGGATTCATTAAATGAGAAATTAAATGATGTGCTCCAAACACACAAAATTAAAGGGTAGAACTGAGATTCAGACCCACTTATGTCTGACTGACTAGGCAAGCTGAGGGATGTGTATGTGTGTGTTTATGTGTGTGCGTCCCCTAATCTATTATGTAATTAGCATTTTTTTCAAAAGCAATTTCTTTTAGGTGAAACTCCTTTTAACACTCAATATTCATGGTGCTCTGACACACACATTCAAAACTTGCTCTTTCATTTTGGATGCAAGTTTGGAAAAAGACTTACTCCTAAAATAAATTTATTTGAGAAAATTCAGCTTAAAGATATGATAGTTATTACATAGGATGATTTCGTTGTCTCTACCTCCTCAAAGACTTTAAAATGGCTTTGGTCATGTGAAGTTAGTATCATCATTCAGAGCTCAAAAATCTCAAGATTCATTCTCCACCCCTTTAATAGTCCTGAGTATATTGTTTCTAAAGCACCACAGGGACTTTAGAGAGAAAATACGGGATTTTGAAATGATAATGTGAATTAAAACAAAAATTCCTTTTTTTCTTTCTTTTTCCCTCTCTCTTGCTTGCTCGCGCTCTCTCTTCTATTTTCTTTTTCTTTTTTTATGTTGTTCAATTAGCTAACACTCTATAAAAATGCCCTCAAGGTCTAGATCTGGAATGCTTAGGTACAAAAGGAAAAGGACATTCTACCAATGTTCCTGCTTGCCCTGAATTATCCTTTTGCCTGTTATCAGATTGTATCACTATCTCTACGCTATGATTAAAAATCATCACATGCTTATTTCTATCAAATTGCATGATACCATACAAATATACTACTCCCTTGTTTGCTGATACAGTGATCTTTTAAATATCAGAGGTTGCAAATTATTTACAATCTTTAGATTATAAAACATTTAGTACACTAGACATCTAGAATTTTGAAACACAATGCAACTTCATTAGCAAAATGAAAAATATTCATTTGTTCATGCTTATTATTTTTTGCAATCTGCTTATTCAAAATCCAAAACCATCTAATGTTGAAAGCCATTTACATTACAATCATATCTAATATCCTGCCCATATTATTGCTCCAGGAAATAAATGCATTTTAGGAGAATTTATTTATAGAGCATCTCTTTCAGAGGTGAGGCTCAGGGAAGCTCTGTGAGGCTGCAACAGTTTACCAGAAGGAGTCAGGCCATAAAGAAAGAAGTGCTGGCATTGGGTGGGGCTGAATAGTTTGCATCTTTTCCCACTGTTTCTCGCTGCTATCATTTCCATGAAAATCGAGGGTGTGGGAATGTATGCCACAGTAAGAAATCCTACAGACTGCTTTGTGTGCCCAAGAGCCCCCACCCCATAACATCTTTAGCTGTTTTTCTTATTATTGAAAGAGCTATCACACTAATGTCTGGGAAAACTGCAGAGGAGCTAAGCAAGCCAAAGAAATATCATGCTGGGGATGATATTTCTCCTGTCACAGCAGTCTTTTCTCCTTAGGAGGAATACACTTAGCATGAAACCAAAAGGCTTTTGCTGTCTAGCCATCTCAGGATCATCATAGAGCAAACGCATCTGGCCAAAAATCTGCCTTTTGCTTCACAATCCACGTTGCTTAACACTCTTCCTTTTACACACTAAAAATAAAACGACTCTCTCTACCCAGTTAACACCAGAAGAATCCATCAGTGGCCACGGTCCTCAGTAATCCACATGTGGAACACACCTTATCTCTATTCACTTCACCATGCTCCAGTCAGTGTATCCATTATGAGCCATGGCTCCTTTACTATTCTCAAAAAGCAGCAGTTTGCACCTGCCTCTTTAAAAAGCAAGGCTTGGCACTGTTATCGTCTACAGTTACTCATAATGCTCCACGGTTTCCATAGCCTTGCTGATATTACACACTCACACATGCACACACATACATATTTATACACAGACATTCCTAATTCCGGCGATTTACCTTCTTGGGTCTTTTTCTCCTCTGACTACTGCCGTTGAACTTCTCTCCACTGTCGCTTTTCTGAGCTGCATCTTCGTTCATCATTTTGAACAGTTTGGAAAGAAAATATCTCTGCCATCAAACCGTGCCGCCTGTACAGACCACTAGCGGGTATGCACTTACTGGAGGAAAGCAGGAGGAGGAGGAGGGGTGGGGAAGGGGCGCGCACTGGGAGGGTAAGGACGGTGACGTTGCCATGGCAGCAGCTGCCACAACTGTTTATCTGACTGCATTGTTAAATCTGATTCAACCAATTACCATCAGGAACCGGTTACAATGAAGAAAGCCTTGAAAAAAGAATGCCAGGGACTCGAATGATTTGGGGACTCTGCTGGTTGGTTTCTGACACACCCTTGATAGGATCAGCTCTCAACCTACACACAAAACCTGTACTTAATTTTCTTCCTACAGGTACTTCAACACGGAACAGATACAATGCATAATGAGAAAACTGTAACATTCTAGAATGTGTCTCTGAACCTGAAGAGGTACATTTAGCCAGTCAAGAGGCTACTTAAGGAAAAGGATTGGTTATTAATATCCTAAAGTGAATATAAGAAAGCTATGTTTTTCAGATGTCATTCACTTGGTTTAAAATATAATCTTTTGAAACTACACTCAAGGATGACTTCTGTCATAAAGCCTTGAGAACAGCTTCTCCAACCTCCAGATAACCCCAACCACTCTCTTCTCCTGTGCCTTCTCTTTCCAATGTAAGCTTCTGACAGTATACCTGTGACAATGTATTACACAACTGCCCAGATACCTAACCATCTTTTCTTGATAGGCCAAGAGCTTTAGATCAGGAGTGTGTGTGTGTGTGTGTGTGTGTGTGTGTGTGTGTGTGTGTGTGTGTCTGGGTAGGGGGAGAACTGAATTTCCCAGAACCAAGCATAATCCATGGCACATTAAAGGCAGTTAATCAAGGCTTGTTAAATATCTAAGACACTATCAGTAATAAAAACATAAAAAACTAATGGAGTTGCAATATTTTATAACTTATCTCAAAAGTTTTCTTAACCTAATTGTGTCTATTGACTGATGAATAAAACACAATCCCTCCTCTCAAGGGGTGTATACTATAAAGTTCTGGAATTCTTCTTGATTTTAAAAAAATGGGGCTTGTTTTTATAACAAGAAACCCAAATTCACTTATTGATTAAGGTGGCCATACTTGTATATTTAAAAATATTAACTTGTAGGCTGGGCGCAGTGGCTCATGCCTATAATCCCAGCATTTTGGGAGGCCAAGGCAGGTGGATCGCAAGGTGAGGAGCTCGACAACAGCCTGGCCAACGTGATGAAACCCTGCCTCTACTAAAAATACAAAAAAAAAAAAAAAATTAGCCAGGTGTGGGGAGGCTGGGGCAGGAGAATTGCTTGAACTCGGGAGGCGAAGGTTGCAGTGAGCCAAGATTGCCCCCAGTGCACTCCAGCCTCGGTGACAGAGCAAGACTCCGCCTTGAAAAAAAAAAAAAAAAAAAAAAAAAAAAAAAATATATATATATATATATATATATATATACACACTTGTAGATGCAACCAGAACCTAATATACTTTGTACAAATGCACATATGTATATTCTAAACACTTGCCCTTATTCCCAGACAATGAACGTAAAGTATAATACACAGCATACTTAGAAGTAAAAATAGAGTAAGGATTAAACCAACGAGATAGTGTATATAAATGCACTTTGAAATTGGAAGGTGCCTATGTAAATGTGTTGCTATTGCTAATCTTATTATTATTACAAATATAGACAGTTTTCAACTCTGAAAGTGTACCTTAAGAAACATATTTATGTGAAAATGACTGCAGCAGTTGAGAACTCACCTTTCCATCAGACAGAGCAACAAAAATTCACCTATTTCCCCATTGCTGTTAGGATTGCTCCTTCTCTCTGCCTTACCACCCTAAGGCCCCTCCACGTCATCATCTGGAGTCAACTCTGTTTTGCTGCCCCTCACTCCCTCCACCCTCCTCCTGTTTCAGCAGACCCATTCCACCAATGCCATTCTCTCACCATTGCTTCAGTGGTATCTTGGATCACACAGCCAGGCCAAAGAGGCAAAGGTTCTCTCTTTTTTTTTAAAACAAAACCCCAAAGAGCTTCTACAGAAGCCTCCAGAAGCCCAACTCCCACTGTGGTCACAGCCCCCACTGAAATCCCCATGCCATTTCCTACTCCCCAACCACCTGCTCTCCCAACCCCTCACTCATTCCCTCACCTCGTCCCATTAGATGCCCCTTTCTTGACCTTTCTTGGGAGCAGCCTCAGCTTGGACACATTCAGTTACTCGATAAATATTTATTGGATGACTATCATGTGCCAGGAACTGAGCACTAGAGGCACATTGTGCTAACTACTGTGGATATCATGATAAACAAAACATTTTTGCAGTCATAGTGCTTACATTCTAACAGTGGAACTAGGTGGTAAACAAAAATAATAGTGACAAATGCTCTGGGGAAAAAAAGTAGAATAAGGAGTGATGAGAGACACATGTTACTGTGCTTAGCACACAAGGTGCTAAGGAATGCTCTTTAGAAATCTGAATGGACCAAGCCAAGCAATTACCTGAAGGAAGAATATTCTAGGCAAACAGAATAGCAGTTCAAAGGTCCCGAGATGGGAACTTCTTGGCAAAAATGTTGAGGAAACTATTATACCATGAAAAGAAGAAGCAAAATGGAAAACCTTTGTCGTAACTGGATCTATAGGAGAGAGATGCTGTTAATGTTCTTTGTCAGTTGAAGTCAGAACACGTTTTTCAATCAATGTGTTTGGTAGCCCAATTAGTAATAGAATCATTGCTTGGACATCACCTCTGCAATGCAAATTGAAAACAAATATACTTCGTATTTCAACAGTTTATGAATTAGTAACTTCTGATTATGTTCTGACAGCCTTTGTAACAATGCCTCCTCTGTCAACATTCAAACATACAGTGCATGGTTGTAAATTCTCAGATTTTGGCTTCTCAATTTGACAGTCTGCTATACCCTGCTGGCTGCTTGTGTATCTTAGTGTGTTGGTGCTGCTATAACAAAATACCTGAGACGAGGTAATTTATAAATAATAGAAATTTATTTGTCACAGTTCTGAGGCTGGGAAGTTCCAAGATCAAGGCACCAGCAGGCTCACTGTCTGGTGAGGGCCAGGTCTCTTCTTCCCAGATGGCATATTGAACACTCTCCTCACATGGCAGAAGGAAAGAAAAGCAAAAAGGGCCTACCTAGTTCCCTCCACCCCTTTTATAAGGCCACTTATCCCATTCACGAGGGCTCTACCCTCGTGACTTAATCACCTCCTAAAGGCCCAGTTCCCTAACACCATCACACTGGGGGTTAAGTTTCAACATGATTTTGGAGGACACAAATATTCAAGCCATAGCAGTGTCATTCTGAAATATTACTTAAACTTGTATACAATGCACTTCCTGTACAAAGTATTGCCCAAATGCTATACAGTATAACATAGATGTAAACATCTAAATTCTGTATAAAATGAAAATCCCAGCCAGTAGTTAAACAGGTGCCGGTAGTATTGTATCAATTACAACACCGGGGGTAAATATCTCTCTGACATTTTCTATAGAAAATGTCAAGATGTTATAAGTGTTTGGGCAGTCATCTTTCCTCTTCTGAAAGCTTTCCGTCAATTTCCTTGTGCCTGTCTGCTGAGTATTCTTCACTTCCTATCCTAATGTACATTTTCCAGTGGGCATGTCCCTAACTGGACTCTAAGCTCCTTGAGGGCAGGATTAATATCTATCTTGGCATGCCACATAAAGCCTACTGCAGTGCATGGCATATAATAGGGGACTAGGAACTATTTTTAAATACAGTAAAGAAACATTTTCAGTACTTACTATGAGTTTTTATTTACAATTAGACATCTAAAAGATTATTTTTTATTTCTTAGATTTTTCTTTCCCTTTATGTACTTTCTGATATCTAAGAGCTATATATAATTTTAAATAAGATTTTTACAGATATTTGAGAAAAGGGAGTTGCTGCAGGCACAATAGCAATGATGATAATACCTTACATTTGCATTTTATAATTCATAAAGCCCTTTTAGCTCCTGGAATGGAAGCTCCATGAGAACAGAGATCTTTGTTGTTCTCGTTGATATAATTCAAGTACCTATAAGAGTGCCAGCATATGACAGATACTCAATAAATACTAAGTGACTTTACGGGATTCTCATAACCACACAAGGTTAGTGTCAACCACAGTACAGGTGATAAAACTGAAATAAAAAGTGGGTTTGGTGACTTGTCCAAAGTAAGAAAGTTAATAAGATATAGAGCTTAAGTTCATCAGATTTGAAGGCTGTTGTTCTTTTATTAAATCATAGCTGGCTTCAATGAAAAGCAGCCACTTAATAAAGTATAAGATGGACAAAGACTAAGATGGAAAATGCCAGGAAAAGAAACCGCTGTCAGATGACAATGACCCAGGCAGAAATATGAAGATGTCTTTATTGGTGTTTTGTTAAGCATATTTTATAGGCATGGAGTTTTAGAGGTGATTATTCTAATTTTCATATGCCTATTCTATTTTATTAAACCATGAGTGTTAATAGTATTAAGAACTCTAACACACTATTTAAATTCATAACATTATTTGAGTGAGGTAAAGTTCTCTGAAGTATAAAGCCTTGATGTCTTACAGGTAGATTATCTCCATTTGTGAGTCAAGAGTTGTCTGTTGTTACAAACATTTTTTCACAGAAACTATGTTAAAAAATCTCAGTTCTCTAAAGCCCTCAAAAGGCTTTCCCACTCACTATTACTTATGGTAGAAAATCTTAACTTGGCAAAGATCCAATAGGGGACACCAAAGCATTTTTTTTTCCTTTTGGACACATAGCTAGACTACTGTTGTGGATTGAACTGTGTCCCCCTAAAAGATATGTTCAAGCCCCAGTTAAGATGAGGTCATAATGAACTAGGGTGGGCTAACCCAATGACCAGGTGTCCTTATAAGAGGAGAAAAAACTAGATGTAGAGACACACAGAGAGAAGATGGCCATGCAAAGACAGAGGCAGAAATTGGAGTGATGTAGCTACAAGGCAAGGGATGCCAATGATTGCCAGCAACCACTAAAAGCTGGGAAGAGGCAGGGGAGGGTCCTTCTCCAGAGCCTTCAGAAGGAACATAGCCCTGAAGACTCCGTGGTTTTGCACTTCTAGTCTTCATAACTGTGAGAGAATACAGTTCTGTTATTTTAAGCCACCCAGTTTGTAGTGCTTTGCTATGGCAACCCTAGGAAACTAGTACAGTTATATTTTCCATCCTCCCTTATAGTTGGTTGCAGCCTTGAGATTTAGTTCTAACCTGTAGAATGTAGGTGGAAGTGTACGCCACGTTGAAGCCTAGTTAATAAACCCTCCCATGAGTAATCTCTATTCATGTGCTAGCTCAATACACAGGCAGACAAAACCTAGAAGGTGGAAGAGCAAAGACTGGGGAAAGGCTGAATCCCTGAATTACTGTGTGGAGCAGAGTCCTTCTTATTCCCTTTTTTATTAAACCTCATAGGACACAAGTAACTTTTTCTCATGCGAGTTTAATCACTGAGATTATGGTGTTGTTTATGAAAACAGCTAGCCTATGGTAACTAACCATATCTACCCATGTTTTTAAGGGAATACATAGTTATATTTCCACTTTAGGATGTCTGTTATGTGAACGATACTCCCATTGCACCAACATTCTTAGCTATTGAAAATTGATCCTATGTCCTGTATTAAAGGCACTAGTCTGGTAAGAAAGGGAACCAAAAGGAATTACAGGGAGATCAGAAGAGATGAGGAGAAAAATATTGTTTATTAGGGGTGGGTAGCAAAAAGGAATGCCTGCCAGATCTATAGAATCACAATCCCAGAGCAGCTTCTGTCCACTTTCCTTTTCCTCCTGCCTCTCTTCCTCAATAAATCCTTTGTGTCCTTTTGTTGCCAAAAGTCATTGTTCTGACCATGGTAGTCTCCCTTCTTGACTCACTGAGAATGTAAACACAGAATGCCTGCCTGTCTTACAAACAAACACATGACTTTTTTGACATTCCCTAAGAATTCTTTTTTCTCTCTTTTTTATACTTTTGTTATCAGTGGGGAAAAGATATGGAATATAAAGATAACAAAGAGAAAATCCAGCTTCCCAAAATTCACAATGAAAAAGCCACTGGTCAACCAGGCACAGTGGCTCATGCCTGTAATCCCAGTGCTTTGGGGAGGGCAAAGCAGGAAGACCACTTAAGCCCAGGAATTCAAGACCAGCCTGAGCAACATAGTGAGACCCTGTCTCTTTTTTTTTTTTAAAGCCCCTGGTATTTGTTGGAATGTACACAGAGTTGGGGTCAGATCTACTTCTGGGCCTGGGGACTGCTCTCCTCCAGTGCCCTCCCTGAATTGCCAAGTGTCTGTCCTAGTGTTAGTCTATACTTCTTCTTTTCCATAGAAGACCTGGAAGGACTCTATTTAGTAGTTCCACCTCCTTGGAAGCTAAAGTGAGGATCATGGGCCAGGCAAGAGGCCTTTTTTATTTATTTCTCCCAGTTCTTAGTAGTTACACCATCAGCATCAGCAAGAAGTACTTCTTCTCCCTCCTTGAGATCCTTTTGTTCCTCTCACCTATGTCTTTCTCCTCTAAATTTATTTATTCCTTTATTCATCCAACAGATATTTGGGGGGTCACTGACTACTATATGCTGGACCCCATGCTAGTTACTGGGGCTTTGGCATGAACTAGATAATCTTTTTCCTTACAGAGCTTACAATCTAAAGCTAGTGATGGTCATAGAACCAGAAATACAGTAACACCCTCTGTAGGAGATAAGGTATTACAGAAGCATAAAACAGGGGCACCAAACCTAGTCTGAAAGAACAAGAAAAGTCTCTGAGAGAAAGTGGCTTGTAAACTGAGAAGATCTGAGCTGTAAATAGAAATTATCTAAATGAAAAGGAAGGTGTAAGTGGGAGTTAAAGAATAATTTGAGCAAAAACAACAGCACTGGAGAATGCCCTCTGGTGGAAAAGACCATGACACTGGCAGAACTGAGATGAGGCCCACATAGTTGAATGGTAGCTTCCAGCCAGGCCTGCAGTAGTGACTCCATCCTAGGCCTAAAAGTATCAGCAAGCATGTTTGTCCATAGACTCTCAGTGTCCCGCGTAGGTATCTGTTACTGACAAAACATTTGTGTCCCTGCAAAATTTACATGTTGAAATTCAAACCCCCAATGTGATGGTGTTGGAAGACAAGGCCTTTGGGAGGTGTATTAGTCAGAGTTCTCTAGAGAAATAGAACAAACAGGATATATAGCGATAAATAGATGAGGGGATTTATTATGGAAATTGGCTCATACCACTGCAGAGGCTGAGAAGTCCCACAATAAAACACCTGCAAGCTGGAGAACCAAGAAAGCTTGTGGTGTAATTCAGGCTGAGGCCAAAGGCCTGAGACTCCAAGAACCAGGGTGAGGGTGGAGAGGCTGGTGTAAGCCCTGGAGTCTGAAGGCCTAGAACTGGAAACTGATGTCTGAGGGCAGGAAGAGATGGATGTGCCAACTGAAGAAGGCAGAGAATTCATCCTTCGTCTCCCTTTTTGTTCTATCTGCGCCTTCAATGGAGTAGATGGTGCTAGCCCACATCGGTGAGGGTGAATCTTCTTTACTCAGTTGACTGATTCAAACGCTAATCTCTTCCAAGAAACTTTCTCACAGACACACTCAGAAATCATGTTTTACCAGCTATCTGGGTATTCCTTAACCCAGTCAAGTTGACACATAAAATTAACTATCAGAGTAGGTAATTAGGTCATAAGCGTGGACTGCTCATGAATGAGATTTGTGCCCTTAAGGAGAAACAGAAGAAAGATTATTTGTCTCTCAGCTATGTGAAGATACAATGAGAAGACAGTCATCTGCAAACCAGAAAGTGGACCTGGGCCCTCACCAGACACTGACTCTGCCTGCACTTTGACCTTGAACATTCCAGTCCTCAAACCTATGAGAAATAAACGTTTGTTGTTTAAGCCACCCAGTCTATAGTATTCTGTTACAGCAGCCTAAACTAATATAGTATCCATGTGTCATACCTAATCATTATTACATACCTTGTGAACCATGTAGTAAGATGGCCCTGTTAGCTTATGGAAAATATTTCCCTAAAACTAGGATGTTATATACTGGTGATATGGCTAAAAAGGGCAGATTTTGCAACCATGTAACACACTTCCTCTGAAGTTTCAGGGAATATGTTTGGAGATAGAAGAACCAGTCTTATGCCTAGGCAAGAAGAATTCCATGACCACCAAACTGAGCCCATCTCCCATGAAGAGCTGGAGAGATTTGAGAAGCCACACCCAGCAACATCCTCAGCCTGATATTACCAGTGGTTCCTTAGTAAAATATATCATGTGTGCTTATTGCAGCACATTTAAATTAAACCAGAGTGGGGCATGGGAAGATGCCAGAGATGCAGGGAGTGAAGAGCTCAACAGGCCATGTTAAGGATTCGGGATTTAGACCTAAAAGCCATCAAAGCCATTTAATGGTTTAAAGAAATAAGTGAAATGATAAAATCTGAAGTTTTTGTAAAGAGCATTCCTTATAAAGAGTTATTGAATGGGAACTAAGCAGCGAATGGATATGATGAGAGGTATCTAAGAGTCTATAACAGCAGTCCTGTAGAGAGATGATGATGAGGGGTGGACAGATGCATTAGTCTGTCACCACCAAAAATGTTATATTCACAAGTCCTAGGAGGAAGTGAGAAACAAGAAGAGGACAGTGGGAAGGCATCTTGCCTAAACAGAAAGAGACCTCATCATCACAAAAGTCTCACATGGGGAAGGGCTCTCAAAGAAAAATTTGTGAAATCCATTTCATTTGACAAAGGAGGGAACAAGACCCAAAAACATTAGGGACTGCTCTCAAGGTACCACAATTAGTTAGCATAGGGAAGACAGGACCCAGGACTCATGCCACCTCACTAAGTAGCCTTTACACCTTGGTCATCTTCACACAGATGAGCTTTAAAAGGTGGCATTATATCTTACCTGCTATGATTTGAAATTAAGGAGCCATAAATTCTTGCTTAAGGTGTAAAAGACCAGAGAGAAATGAGTCCACTAAACAACTACTCCCCTCAGTGAATGATTAAGGGAGGAAAGATCTTTGTGTCTGATGTAAATATGGAGTGTCTCCTTCCTGAATTGCAACCAGCTCAATCAAGATTTCACTGAGATGGATTTTAAAGCAGCAGCAGCAGCAGCAGCAATTGTTTAGGGACCTGCTTGTTTTCGCTTTATACCAGTCCAACATAAGGTTTACCACAGAGGTAATTTGGTTGCAAAATTTACCCTGTGCAATCTAAAAAGAGAACTTTTGGAAATCATAACATACAATTTTAACACCTCACTTCACCTGAGACAAATATTAAATTTAGCCTAGTGATTAACTATGTCTTATTTTACATAAATATCAGCAACAATATTTTAGATGAAACGTAGAATTTCACTGAAGAATAACAAAATGTGGGTGAGCTCACCATGTACATGCTCCCGGCTAGGTCAGTTTTTTAGGACGCATTATCATCTGCTTGCTCTACTATACATTCAGTCTCTAGTGATATTAGTTCTTGAAAATAGCTGTTATAATTGGGTTTTCCTGTAAATGCAAATAAATAGCACATTGGGGCAGGTCGTGTCCTTGAAAGACATATTTTTTCAGGGGCAACTTAATTTATTACTGTAAACATTTTCTATCTTAAACCAGCTTAAAAATAAGTTATCGCAAATTTTTTTCTTTTAACAAAAGAAAAACTCCGGGCCCATTGATAAAAAGTCAACAAATAACCTAGGGCCTCCATATTTACGTCCATTATAAATGTAAATCATATTTTAAAAGATATGTACCCATGGAGTGATGGAATTTACAAGAAGACAAAGAATCCCAATGTTAGAAGGTAACTTAGAAACCATTGTATCCAGCTCCTACCTCTCAGTAAGTAAGAAAATTGGAACCCCCTAGGCTATGTTACCTACTCAAGGTTGCATATACAGTTAGGCACTTTGAACTAAATTCTCAGTTTTCTTATTCCTAATTCAGTGTTAATATATTCTAGTGGGGTGTCTTTCGGCTAAAATGAATTCAGGAGCCCCCACTCCTCAGCAAACACATAGGCCCAGCAATTGCTCAGTGCTCTGAGAGTGAGAAAAAAAAAATATGTAAATCATTATCTATGAGGCAGAAATGTTTCAGATGTTTCAGGCATTACAAGTAGAGAGCTGAATAAGAGAAAACGATTTTTTGTTGTTATTGTTGTTTTGCAAAATGCTGCAAAATACCCCAAGTTAAGATCAGGGGTTTCTATAATGGAATCAAAGGAGAAGAAGGCAAAAAAGGATTAACTTGGAGATGAGCCTGTTTTTCACAATGTTACCCTTTGCCAAAGAATCTCAAGAATGGTGGAAACCAAAGATAATACGAACATAAAAACTTCAAGGAGACTTTAAATAGTTATGATTAAAAAAAATAGATGGCAAAGGAAGTCAGTTTACTATCTTATCACTCTTGTGAATTAATAATTAATGACTGACCACTAAAATTCCTTCCATTTAGTAAAAGAAAAAATCAACAGAAAGTGTTTATTACCTTTTAGTGTTCTCTAACTTTTAACTACCATCCAGTCAGGAATGGTGGCATTCTAATTACCTATTACCTCACAAAATACCTCATAAACTTACTGTCTTAAAATAATTTCATTTTTCTCTCAAATTTGTGAGTCGGGGATTAAGGAAGGGCTCACCTGGCTGATTCATTCTGATACATGTGGTGTCAGCTGGGGCAGCTCAGGCTGGAGGATCTACTCCTACTGTGGCATCCTTACTCACATACCTGATTTCTTGGTGCTTGTTGCTCTCTCTCTCTTCCCATGTGGCATTTCATTCTTCAAGGCCTCTCCACATGGCTTGGGTTTTCACTGTATGGTGGTTTGAACATAGTTGCATTCTTTTATTACAGTTGGCTTCCCAGAGGCCAGGAAATGGCAAGTGCCTGTCCAATTAAGGGCTCTGCCATATTTTATTGGTCAAAGCAGTCACAGGGCCCTTCCAGATTCAAGGGGTGAAGAAATCGACGCCACCTCTTGTTGAGGGGTAGGTGGAAAGGTCACATTGCTGAAGAGCATATGGAAGGGGAGCCATCTTGGGAAATGTACTAGGCCACAGATGGCCAGCAAGTAAAGTAGGCCAGAGAGAGAGAAAGCAGACAGGCTGACTTTGCGTACTATACTAAGGGGGTCTTTTCCCAAAGGAACAGACTCTGCTAGCCAGAACTGCAATGTTCTGCATTCCCTTTATTCATTTAAAAAAAAACAGTTATCAATGAATTTCTGAAATGATTACATATTACTGGGTCAAACGCTACTATTTCTTCTCAAAAAAAAGTCTTTGTTGATCTTCAAAGATGAGTTTCACGTATCCTGCTTTCTGAATGTGAGCTACTGTCTAATCAATTCACCGGAATTCTTTCATATTAAACTACAGTGCAGCTTTTTTTGAACTTTCTTTAGCCTCTCTCTTTTCACTCTCCTTGGCCCCTCCTCTTCTACGTAACATCTATATGACCTCGTAACAGCCTTAAATTCTATACAAAAAAAAGATAATTAAAAAACAAGCTTAAAAATGAAACAAAAGTATATCATAACTTAGAACTAATTTGAACTAATGTCTAAAAAGGGACACATGTAGTGCAAGCATAATTATTGTTTGTTAGCTTCAAACTCTATACTAGGAAAATGATTAAACACATAATAGAGTTGGAAGAAAGTTTATTAACTTGTTAACAACCTGCTACTGCAGTCTAGAATTTAGTCTTTAGTTCTGATTTACATAAATATTGGATATCATTTGTGCTGGACCTTAACAAAACCTATATAACTGATAAATTCCCTTGTTCTCTTCTATTTAGGCCTTATTCATGTTTCTGGCTTACAGTAACACTAGAACAGAAAATACCTACTTTAATTATTTAATTTGCTTAACTACCAAGAACAAATTGTGACTTGGGCCTTGATAATGTGCTGATAATCAGACCTGGAGAGTATCCAAATTCAAGTAGGAAAAACAATCCTCCTCAAGAAATTTCATCAAGTCCTACACAAAAAAACTTAGGAACCAAAGTATGGTCAATCCTTCTATTTTGGTCACATTGACTATACAAATTACTATATAGTATCTGCTTGCCAGTTTATCTTGCATAAGTGTCAAAAAAATAACTTTTGCCAGCCTGTTAATTTGCAAAAACATTTAGAGTATAACAATAATAATACATTTAATGCTACAAAGATTGAAATTGATGAGAGCAACTAAGTATAATAGTATTTCACAAATCTAATCAGTTGAGACTCAGAATATTAATGCCACACTTAGACCTTAAGCTGTTCTAATTAAAACTGTAGAAATCTAAGTAAAAATTTAGTTATGTCCATTGATTTACAACATTTCCAATTTTATTTATGCCTAACCAATTATAAGAGTATTTCCTGGGCCCACAAATCTGTCAGCCTAGAAAGTGTTGAACTGTGAAGGAGCTGAGATCTTATCCTACTTGCAAGTTAACAAGTTAGTTTGCTACAATCTCATAGATTGTGGCAGAAGATATGAGACTCCCAGGTCAGAAACAAAGAGCTGTATTATTATACACCACTGCAAGTAACATTAGCATCAGCATATTTGTGTCAGTTTCCCTGCTCCCAATTAAAGTAATGTGTACAGGCTAGATGGATGCCAGCACATTCAGCAGGCTGTGTACCAGAGAGAAACCCTGAGTTTAGGAAGCCTGAATCTTTTATAGTGGGCAATAAGTATGTGTGTACTTTGCTCCAGAGGGAACCTTTGTCTTCATTATACTGGCTAGTAAGCATGCCAGACTTTTGCTTCTCTGTGCTGCTTGCTATACCAACATCTTGGAAAAAAATAATCTAGAACAAAGACAGTCCGTGCCTCTGCTTGCAAGATGTACAGAAATGCAAGAAATCTACAGAACATTATTTCAACAGAAAGTTTCAAAAAATATAGGTTATTTTGCAGTTGTGGCTCAAAGTGTGAATTTGCCCTTTGTGTCACAGTCTAAATTTAAGTGGAAACTAGATGAGATTTCCTTCAAATTTCCTGCAGGCATACATATCTGTGTAGCAAGATGTAACAGTTAGCTTAATTATAAACATTTGGAAGATTATCTGTAGTCTTACCCAAATCACTATGGTATACAATCAGAAGCAATGGCTGAAGGTCAGCACACTCAGATTTTAAGCCTCATGCTGTCCTTAACTGACAACAGGACTCACAACAAATCATATAACTTACTTGGTCCTCAGTTTCTGTATCTCTTCAAATGTGTGATTACTTTCTAATTTTTCTCCTAGATAATTTTCTTTTTGTTTGTTTCAAGTCCTGGATGTGGCATCTAAACTCCTAGATAATTTTCTATTTTTTTTTTTTTTTACTACTAAAAGTCCTTGAATCTATGAAGCTACATTTCAAAGTGGAAAAAATGACTCAAAGAGAGTTTTAAGGAGCAGATTAAATGGCCAGTGATTCAATATCAGACAAAATGTAATGTAGCTGTCTTCGTTTTCAATTCCCTTTTCTTTTTCCACTAGAAAACACAGACATTGGAAGACGTATGAGACTACGGAAACTAATTTTCTCAAGGTCAACAAATAGAGTTGGAAAATAACGAAGGAACAAAGAAATGCTGACAGTAATTATGCAAATTATTTAGACCTGAAAAACAGTTTTGGCAGTTGTACAAATGCTATGGTGTTTTACCCACTAATTTGGACAGAAAATTTTAAAATCTATGTTTGAACGTCTATTAACTTTTCCCTCTCCTCTTTCCGATTTCTCATATCCAGTATAAAACATTTTGTTTTTCCTTTGTTAACACATTTTAGGTATTCCTTCCATTCTCTATTGCTCCACCCCTTTTTCTCTCCTATCTGAGTTATTTTAATCAACAGGATTTGCTATCTCCCTGCCTTCATGTTTTCTCCTCCAATCTTATTTCCAGACAGTTGTATTTTTATTCTTCATAAAAAAATTTTTAGTCTTCAGCATTTTCAGAATAAAGGTGAAACATCTCCAACTATTGCCTAAATTCATCTACACATTCCTGCCTTCAAGCATTTTACTCGAATATCTATAAAAGGAGATAGATAAATCAAAATACAGTATGATCAAATTTTTATTAAGGACGAGTTACCAGAGCTTCTAAGAGGAACATCAAATCCTATTTTCCTGGGCTGGTGAAAAATTTCCAGATTAAAAAATACCTATTTTCTTTTCTTTCATCTCCCTAAAACCTACCTACCTGAAATCCCAAACTGACTATGAAGCTTTTTCTAAAAATGGCAAACTACATTAAACTTTCTTTCTCTTTTGATCACTATGCCACTTCTTGTCTATATTAATCACACAAGCTAGTTCTCATTAACTGCTTAATATGCCTCTGTATTTTCTTTCCAACTGGATAAATCCAGAACACCCCCTTCCCAACCCACCTGCAGCACACACCAAAAAAAAAAAAGGTACCTTTTGATACATATCATTTTATTCTGAGTGAAAGCCACTCTTGGTATCTGTTATTTCTTCCACAGACTCATAACATCTAGAATAGTAGAAAAGCCTACTTTTTAAGAAAAAAGGAAAAAAAATGGAAGGTAGATGTCAAGCCAAGTTAGAAAAACGATGAGGTTCTCAAGGTTTGAACACAAAGCTTGTTCCTAGAAATTACATTATATATGCCTTGAGTTCCTAGATAGCCCACAGAAACATTTGTTCTCTGCAAAACAGTTTTCAATTATATCTAATCATTATTATTTCAATTACATCTAATGGAAAATAATTATTATGTCTATTTAATAATGTCTAAACTGTTGTTTTAAACATTTCTTCCATAGGAAAATGAATTTCATACTCCAGTAGTGTTACCAAACTACATTTCCCCATCATGGTAGCCTAAGCCAGGAAGTGGAGAAAAGAGAAGGATGTCATTAAGTGGAAAATAATCAGGTAATTTACTCACTCTCTACATTTTCCCAGAAAGATTGTCAATATTTCTTCAGCAAACATTATTATGCACCTGCTAAGTGCCAGCTTCTCTTCTCCTTTCTACAGATAAAAAGATAATTTAGACATGATTCTTGCCCTCAAGGACATGCATAAAAAGGTACTCTCTTCTCACTGAAAAATGTGTTCCCACTTTCACTTAAACCTAGGAAAGTTAAAACCACCCCCAGGAGGTTTCTTTATATTGTCTGCAGTCTTTTCTCCTGAATATTTTCTTTCCAGTATTCTGGTCACAAAGCAGACAGTGTGTATTTCTTGATCAATTGAATAGATTGGAGATAAATCAGGATTACTCAGTTATTATTAGTTTAATTGAAAAACTACATCAGGTTATAAGCTAAATAAAAATATAAACAAACAGCAGATTCCTCTTTTTTGCCAATCTAAGGAACACTCGTGATCCAGTAAAAACTTATCTTGATTTCCGCTCTTGATATAATCGTCATCCTTAAGGTGTTCCTATCAAGAATCCTATCTCAAACCATCTTCAAGGTATTCCTACTCCAATATTTAACCCAGGTCTTCCTGGGAGTCAGAGCTTCTTCCTCTTGAACTTTTTAGGTAATTCCCAGCAAATTACTCATTCTATTCTATTAGCTAACGGGGCATGGCAACATACAGAAAAATGAAGCAAGCAGGAAAAGAGCAGATCTACCCACTGGGTCTGGAGACCTGGATGGCAGTGGAGGCTCAGCCAGCAAGCCAAGACACATTGTTCAAGATAGTTAAGACAGTTCTACCTATAATTCAGACAGCCAGGCATCTATGGTGTAGGAGTGAGGCAATGTAGAAGGAGAGAATCAAGGCAGGTGATTGCTGGAGTTTGTCAATATGGGAGTCGACTGCTAGTAACAAGTGGGCAGTTAGATTAGTTAAATGGAAACTATCCATTTGTTTTTTATCATAAAGAGTTGCATACATGGATGGGATTCTTCATAATATTGGATAACGGCAGTAATAAAAGTGACAAATTCCATCTGACCAATTTGCAGTTTGATACTTTATACACACACACACACGCACACACACACTTTTTTCTCAAATTGTAACTATTATAAGAGAAATAAATCTCTTTTCTCCAAAGATATAACTAGGCATGTGACAATAACACTAACTTATCATTTGATGTGTGACGAGTTTTGTTTTGTTTGGGTATTTCTCTGTGTTTCCTAGATTTAATTCCTTAAAGAGCACTTTTCCCCTATCATGCCATTACAGACCTTGAGCTTTTTTGTCTGCTTTATTGGAGAGGCAGAACATAAGAATCCCATTCCTGGATCGACCACTAATTGGATTATAACCATGGGCAACTTACTTTTCCTGAATTGCAGTGTCTTAATTTCTAAAATAAGAAGGTTACACTATAGTTAAGACTTCTGAGGTTGTAATCCTGGTACACACTCAGCCATTCTGTCCTCATGTAATACAAAATAGAGATGTTATCCTATGCTACACTGGTGGCAACATGGTATTCCTTGGTCCCTATTTATCAAGTTCCTAAGGCCAGGTAATATGTAGTTTTGCAAATACAGGAGAGAGACCATTTAATTTTTCTTAAGTGTAATCCAACTTAAACGGCCCAATGTGGACAAATGGAGTAGTGCTTGTGATTCCACATGGACGCACATGCTTTTCCTGATACTGGAAGCTATTTTATGATATAGTGAATGTCAGCTGGGAGCTCCTAAAGCTCACTCCAAAATCGGATTTCTCTAGAAAAACTCTATGCTTTCCTGGGTAGAAGAATGTTTCATCTAAAAGCTTGATAGCAGATATTTTCAGAAAAGATCTATCTACAAGCACCTGAGTGAGTATTCTAACTCAGCCTAGGAGCACTATCCCATCAGGGGGAAAACACTACAGGGTGACTGTCTCTTGGAATAATATATTTAAAAATACAACGCATTTAATTGTAAAAGAGTCCTTTCCTTCTCTCTAAAGTGATTTTTAAATCTTTCACTGGTATCACTGACTTTGAATAACAGAAGTAGCTGCTTTTTGGCAATACCTCAAAGTCATGTTACAGACTTACTCATTGCTAAGTGAAAGATGTGAGGACCATATAATCATTCCTGAGACTCTGTTTCCAGAGTCCCAACACCAACAGTACCAGACTCGGAAATTTAAGGGTTTACCCTCTCCTCATGGAATCCCCCTGTAATAACAGTTAAAAGGGTGAAGATGGGAATGAAGAACACCCGGCACTGGAAAAGGACTCAGAGGCAAGACAGTATCCACTGCCTCACATTCTGTATTTTTAACCCATGCCCTTCCTTGGCTCTCCACACAGTTTGTGCCCCAAGTCTGGGACAACGCCATCTAACAACAGCTTTTCTATATTAGAAACCAATTCAAAAATTAGATCAACAAAAGAAGACATGAATCCAAAACATTCTATATCTCTTTCTCTCTCAAAAAACAAACAAGCTTATGATTTAAGTTGCATATATTTTTCAAACAGTGTGTGCAGCCTTAGAGTGGTACAGTAAGTAGAACTGTTAATTAGCATCAAAATAATGCTTTGATTCATTTATGATAGCATTAGCGTTCCTGTCAAGGATTTTTGGGATGTTTGGGTTTGAGAAGTTCTTTATGTCTAAAGTACTCGATTGGGCTCATCGAGGAGTTAAGCTATAACTTGACCACACAGTAATTACATCTAATTATGATTACCTGAAAACACACTATGATTAACTTGAGTGAATACAAATGTCTTGTTTTCAAAAAGAAAAAGATGGAAAAAAAGAAGAAAAGCACACATAGAGTTTCCTGCAGGTTTTGCATACCCTTGCATTTGATATTAAGAATGTCTCTGTTTTATTTATCATGTGTTCTCCATTTACTAAATAATAGGAGAAGAGGTGTTCAGATGGGATTTCTCAATTCTTGTTTAATGAGAAGCTTCTCCTAGCTACCTCCTGCTGAACCCTGCAGTTACATCTGTCCCATCCTGATAACAAAAGAACAAAAGAACAAACCACTGGTCTACTTAAGGTTTCATCAGTGATAACACTAAGTCATCAAGTCAAACAAGAATACCAAAAAAATAGAAATGGGGTGGGAGGGAGGGAGATGAAATAATATCTTTACTTTAATTATACTTCCATGATTGAGTAAACCTCATTTTAAGTGCCTCTATCCCTTAGGAAGAAGTTTAGAGTCAGATCATCCCAGCTTACTAATAAGCAAGAAGTCAGCCCATCTGCCCATTACCCTGCAACAGTCCCCACGGCATCCTCTCTGTCCTTAAATAAATAGATCCAAGGCAAGATGAATGAATGGGTTCAGGGAAAGATAAATATCTCCAGAAAAATGCAATAAAGAGAAATTTTGAGCCAATTAATAAATTATTATAAAAGTAATTTTTTTCTAATGCATCTTAATAGGAGTCTCACAGATACTAATGTTGTATAGCTCTTCCCTCCATTTATTTTAAATTAAAATTTGTAATATATTTTAAAGAGTTTTTGGCAAACTTCAAATTAGAGTCACAAAACTGGCAGACAATTCAAGTCAGCTGTTAAGTATTTTTCAAGCAAGCAAATATCTTAAATCTTAAAGAAAAATGACCATTCATTATCTTAGTGAAGCTTTCCAGGATGGTCATTTTACTATTCTCTTTGTCTCTCATAATATCTATCACTCTGATAGCCCACCAAAATGTCTTTTTCCTTTCACCAAGCCCATTTTTCTTCCATCTCAATATAAAGTGGAAATGATCAACATCCCCCTCACTTAAAAATCTTTTCCTATTCTTAAAAGTGTCTATACAAGGCAGTTTTCAGCTCATCTTTTGAAATGTTTTAAACCTGTACTCATCTACGGCCTTCTTTTCCTTTCTTTCCTATTATTTGGATTATTTTTTTAACATTCTTTAGTCTTACCTTTTAGTTCTTAGAGTACCTTGGCCATTCACAAACATAGAAATAATATAAGCCATAGTCATCATGATGCAGATTTTTTTAAACAATGGCAGTGAATTACTGACCCATATTCAGCTTGTAACAGATTTCCTCCTGTTCTTTTCCTTCATTTCTCGCACTGAGTCCAATCCTGCATTTACATTACAAAAGGTATCACACTTTTCTGTATAGGATTTTTATTCTCTGCTTTTAAAACTACTTTAGTTTTATTTCTATCTTTTGAGATCTTACCTAATTTGAGCATCAAGGACAAATCTGACAGACATATTCTAGACTCCTAATCAGGTAGCCCCAAACCAGTCCTGTTGTTTGAAATCTCATCAGTAAGGAATTGAGCTACGGAAAATTACGTAGGTTCTTGTGTCAAACATTCTCCTTGTTAAACAGTTCATTCAGGCTAGAGATGACCACCTTGTTTAAGAAGATATCAAGTGAGCCACACATAAGACATTCCATTCTCTAAATGGTTGAGCCTTCCCTAATATATTATTTGGTTTTTTTTAGTTATATAAACAATTGACTCTTTTCTGATTTTATGTTAGTTCTACAGATGAAACACACACTTCATTTTCAATATTACCCTTCTATACACTCCTATTTTGTTGCCCTTTCATGGTATTTATAATTCACATAGTACACAAGATTTTTAATTTGCATTTTTGTTTTAGATAATAAATATAATTATTAACTTTTCATGTGGAAAACTATATCTTATTAGCAAGTAAATTAAAAAGTAAAGCAGATTATACATTCCAATGTCAAATAGAACAATGAGAACCATGTAAAATTGTATGGATGCTAATCAAATGACCAGGTATTCATGTTTTATTGTTTCTCTCACAAAATTTAAGAAAAGGTCAATAGACATCTCCATAACTGTACCTCTTTAATCTACTAGGGCATTTTGAGAGTGGTGTTTTTGGCCGTCGAGATAAGTCAGTCATTCTGAGGTATGGATGGACAGAGAGCAAGCACTGGCAAGAACAAGAAGAGACGAATAGGTCGGGCTCTCTCTGTGGGTATAAAACTCTGAGCAGTTCACTTCAATTCATTGGATCTTGGTGGGCCTCAGACCCACTAATTACTATAGTTTCTTGAGGCCTCAAGGTTCATTTTCTAAAGAAGAACTCCGGCCACGTTCATTTATAGCTATCTTTTAAAAATACCCAAATCTGGCTGCGCAGTGGCTCACGCCTGTAATCCCAGCACTTTGGGAGGGTGAGGTGGGAGGATTGCTTTAGACCAGCATGGGCAACACAGCAAGACCCCATCTCTACAAAAAATAAATAAATAAATAAAAATTAGCTGGGTGAAGTTGTGTGTGCCTATAGTTCCAGCTACTCAGGAGGTTGAGGCAGGAGAATTGCTTGAGCCCAGGAGTTAGAGGATGTAGTGAGTTGTAATCATGCCACTGACTCCAGCCTGGATGACAGAGTGCCCTGTTTCCAAAACAAAAAAAACAAAAACAAAAAACGAATCCTCCTATCATGAGTCTTTCCTTTAGAATAATTTTGCTTTCTTAAAATATTATTTTTCTAAGAATTAATAGCAAGTAATATATAATCCACACTTATGTATATGTTCAAAGTGCCTGGAGTTTTTTCAGTTACTCTAAATCCAGCTTTTTATTTTTATCTTCTAAATCCACTCTATTGTGTTGACACCAGATATGATCAGGTCTTTAGAAGCTGAGTTGCACTAACAGAACACGTAGCAACATGTTATTCCAAGATATTAGCTTATATTAATACACCATGATTGAGTTGACTGAGTACTTCAATCCCCTACCTGAGGAGACTGGGTATATTGGGTTCACATACAGCAATATGTAATGGAAGTAGATGGTCTTTGGGGTATCTTTCCTGCAACCCGGGAGTTAGTGAATCATTTTTCCTCATTGTGGAAACAATACGCATTTTTTGTTGTCTCAGATAAAATCATTCTTCTCATTTATTTTAGGTTTCTTATCCCAAAACCTGCTTCAAAGCAAACATGTTATCTTAGTAGGACAAGGTCAATTTATAAATTAAGCCCCTAAACCAAAAAAGGGCCTCTTTTACTTGAGTTGTTGCAAAATAAATCTCCAGCCTTCCTTCATACCTCCAAAGATAATTGGCTTTTACTCCTTTGTTCCACTGTGTCCTTAGAACATGTCTCTATTGTAGTGCTTATATACCATCCTACAATTATTTAGTGTATCAGCTTCCTGACTGCATAGTAAACATCATGAAACAGTCACCTTTGCGTAGTGCCTAGCACAGTGCCTGGCACAACATAGGTGCTTAATATGTGTGTTTGTTGCATGAACGAGAGATAACAAGTGTTCTCTGCATTTTTCTAACTTGCTGTGTTCTGACTGACCTCTGGACAGTCTCACCTGTTTTCCCCTCTGTTCAGAACCACATTTGTTTGGCTACCTTCTACACCTCCCCCAGGTCTCATCCCAAAGGTCATTACCTCTGAGAAGCCTCTGTCCCACTGGATCAGGTGCTTGCCTACTCTGTGCTCTCATAGTATTTTATGGCACTTGCTGCACTCTATTGCAGTTGCTTAATTGCTCACATCCCCTACTAGATACAAGCAAATGTGCAAATTGTTTACCATTGCCACCAAGGCAAAATCCACAGTGTGTGTTAAATAAATGTTTGTTTGATGGATTATCATCAGTCACCTATTTTAATAGCTTTACCAGAGTAGAAGAATATTTGAAATAAATAAATGGTGAAGTCAGGGGAATGCACATTTTACACCATCTTATTTTGCTATTTTTAACGTAAACAAAATTATGTCACCATGTTACATAACCTGATAGTGTACTGTAAACAAAAAAATCAATCATTTCATCCAAAATCACCATTTCTAAATAAAGCCACTAGTCTCCTTCCTCTATGTGAGCTTTGTTTTTGAGAAAATTTCAACAAATAGATAGATTTCTATTTATTTATATTTATTTATATACTTCCCAATCAGCAGTTACGTTTAATTTTCTGCAAATAATAGGCCAGCAGGAATATTTAAATTTGTGAACATGGAAGTGTGCCATAACATTCAATAGGGATAAAAGGAAATGGCTGTAAGACACCTGGGGACATGAGCTCTTCCTTAGCTCTTGGCATCCTGATATAATGCTGCAGTCTCCAGGGCAGAAGCATATGGTTCCGCTCCAATAATGGTGGCCCCAGGAAGAAGACAGACACTGAACTCAGTAGAAGGGCTGCAGGTAAACAGGCAGAGATCAGGTTCTGAACAATCAGCAAAAATAATCACAGAACACTCTTGGCTCAGACTGACCCCACAGTAACTTTATTGAAGCATAACCTGCCTTTAAGGATTCATTCCTGGGATCTGGAGGTGCTTACAGACTAGAGTGATTTTCAGACACAGGAGAGATAGCGTATATTCTGTAATCTGTGAGTTAGCGATGGTACTGAACTTCTGAATATACACAAATAATGAGTCATAACTTTATTAATCATCCCACCCAAAAACTATCAAAATAGTTTATTCACACACCATAGAGGGGTTCGCATATGCAAGATAAGCAAGTCAAAAGGAGACAATCACTTACTTTCCAAGATACCAAGGACAATGAAGAGGATGTATCACCATCCAACTTCAAGCATGCACAGGTATTCCCCATATCCAGCACGCCATCTTCACTGAAACAGATGGATTCCTCCACTCTCACCCCAGCCCTTCTTCCTTTGTGTCCAACCTCCTGGAAAAGCAGCATACCTCTGGATCTCCCAGTTTCTCACCTCTAATCCCTTTAACCTTCTCCAGTCTGGCTTCCATCCCAACTACTGAAAAAAGCCACCCTTTCCAAGGTTTCCAATAACCTCCTCTAAGCCAAATCAAATTGCTTCTTCCCTATACTAATCATTTTTTATTTTTTTCCTTCAAAAGGCCAGTCAGCAGAGCTGACTATTATGAATAACTCCCTTTTCCTTGATTACTCATCGTCCTGCACTCCCAGACATGATCCCATTCTCTCCAGCTACTTCGATCTATTTTCTTTGCATGCTACTAAATCTTTTCTATGTTCCACAGTTCAGCATTTGAGCCTTTTCTTATAAATAGTTGTCCTCAGAATTACCAATGCTCCCTGTCCACTGAAAATACCTCTATAGGTCAAAATTTCCTACAAAAATTCAATCCAATGAAAGTTTTGATGTGATAAAAATATCTGATGATCAGTTGTTGATCTCCAGTTAAAATGCTTTGTTGATATAGTTGAAGAGGAAAGAGTAGACACGGTTTCTGTTATCAAGGAATTTAAAATCATAGTTCTCTGGCACAGAAAGGATCTTCAGGACATATATCACAGCAATCTGTGGGCCGGATATGGCTTTGTTGTGTTTCATTCAGTCCACATGGTTGGGGTTTGGGTTTTGTTAGAATTCACATTTAGAAGTCAGGAGATCTCATATAAAAATCTGCTTACTTCTTCTGAAAACTCCAGTCTGTCAATATTGTGCTCCCATTCCTACATGACAACAGATAGAACTAAATTGCAGCGGTCCTTTTTAAATAGGGCATTTGCTTTCCACATAGCAGGTCCCAAGTGTCCGTGGCCACGTATTACGGCATTTGTGTTGTTTCCTTATAGTAAAGAGGGAAAATAAATGTACCATATACGCTTTGTCTATTGAATGCCAAAGTGCAAAATGACCAAGAAAGCAAGCAATTCTTGGGCCCAACCAGTTTCATTTATTTACTTAACCTGCTGTTTCTGTTTTACATTTTATAAACTAGAAAATTAAAATGCCCATGAAAGTGACATAATCTACATAAGTTCACCTTTATATCATTGCCTACTTCTTAAAGTGACATAGCTATCAGGTATAGCAGCCATTCCTCCACATTAGTTATACTACCCATACCTCTACATCTCTCAAAAGCTGCTTTTTCACAAAACAATTTCTGATCTCAGAGTGAGACCCCCTTCCCCTCCACCCTCAGATCTCCTTAGCAATTTAAATTTATAAATTTCACAGAGAAAAAGAGAGAGGTACTCATTAGCCATTCACAAGAAGCCAAGAAACATAATGTACAAAGCTAATTACAACTGCATATGGAGAGAGTTGCATTCATTTTGAAGGAATGAAGGCATGATTGAAGAGAAGCCTTAGAAAGTGTCAAGAGATTGATTTTTAGCAAGGTTTTGAATAGAAGGAACATTATGTGCCAGGAATTTGGAGTTTATCCATAAGGCACAAAGAGAAACGTACATTTGTTTGGACAAAGTAAAGAATACTAGTGGAGATGGGCCTACTTCAAAATAAATGTGTGTGGAGGGAGTAATAGAAAAGAAATGGAATATGGGGACACCCAGGCAGATTCCCCAAATCCACATATACAACCTTTCTTCCTCTGTCACAATTTTTACATCACAGTATGTGCATTGTGTGGGGTGAGGGGCATCGTGTATGAAGGTAGCCATTTTGTACATGTTACCTTGTTAAAAACAAAAGAGCAGCAACATGTTTAGAGTGGTGTCTATAGATAGAACACTGCTGTTATGTTTAAGGAAAATTGGGGCAGGGGGCAGAAAAGATCAATATGACTAGTTAGAAGACTATTAAGGAGAACTTTGTACATGAATTATGGATGTAAGAATTAGAAAAAAAAAGATGATCATGTTCAGAATTTTAGCTTTTTTACAATTGTAGTGGAAAAGAAAACTCCTAGAGTAATGAATCAATGGTATCCTACAAAAAGAGAGGTGCCAAAAATACCATGAAATATTATATTAAAAAATTCACACGAATAGGTAGTTATAATATGTAAAGACAGACTTCTTTTTATTTATCTAAAAGAAAATTTTTTATGGGAAAGATAAATATTTAAATAAAACATTCTACTTTTCATCACTATCACAGGACATGAAATTTTGTGACTAACAAACGCATAGAACCAATAACCTAAATTGTGTTATCTTCTAGCGTCAAACAATAATTCATATATAGCATTCATTGTATGCTCTTTGTAAGTGGGAAGTAGAAGTGTATTTAAATTTGCATAATGCCATTGGAGTCTTTAAGGAACAAGTTATACAGTCATTACAAAGACACAAGGGAATGATTTGTCCTTAAGTACTTTGCAATTATCCTGCTAGCCACAGACCATGTGACTATTGCTTAGTTACAAAACTTCTGGCAGGTACAGTTTGTTATAAGAAGTATTCCCTTGACAGTGCTAGATTAAAAAACAAAATAGTGTCTCATGTGTTTATTTTTGTAGATCAAGGAAAATTTTTGTATCCTTTAAAAATTTTTGTTTCTCTCAGTCAAATTGACAAATTAAGTAACTAGAGAGAGAAAAATTTTAATGAGGAAAAATAAATCTAATATCCTAAATTTCAATAACAGGCTATCTCACCTGTGTCTATCTGAGAGAGTGTCTAGTATACTAGTAATCTTTAAGAGTAAAATATTAACATATTTTATTCTTTATTAAACCCTGCCTCTGTGATGGAGGAGCATGCTCTCTTGATAAATATATAATTTCATGCTGTTAACAAACTAAGGAATTTATCTATATTCTTTTCTGGTTTTTATTCTCTTTCTTGGTCTCTTTAAGCCTAATATGAGCCTATGTACTGTGCTAATGAACTAGAATATGCGTAACATTACTATAATGGAAGGTTTAAATTGAAGTCTACCTTTCACACAAAACAAATTTTGTAAGCCCTAGGAAGAAAGGGACTTTATCTGTTTCCTTCACTGTTGCCTTTCAAAATTATCTTCTTGTAGTGTAGAGGGGTCCCCAATAAGAATGTGTTCTGCAATATGTTCCCCCAATCTGTGCATGTCTTCTACAGAAAGGGTTTTAAATACATACGATTAAATCAAAAAAATTATCTTCTCGTGAAGAAAATTCATTGATTATCTCTCAATTATTTATGAAGCATCCACTAAGTGTCAGAAACTGATGTAGGTGCTGTAGATGTTGCAATGAACAAAACAAAGACCCCGCTGTCATACAGCCTATGGTGTAGTGCATGAACATGAAGACAGAAAACAACGATTAAATAAATGAAGATGAAATGTTGCCGGTGGAGATACAGGCAACATATGATAAGCAGAGGTGGTGCTATCTTATGGCAGAGGTGGTGCTATCTTAGATGTTGTGGTCAGACACAATACCTCTGAGAAATGATATTTCTTCAGGGACCTGAAAGGAATCAGAGAGTCAGCCACAAGCATATCTATATAGAGCATTCCAGGCAGAGTAGACCTCTCTGCACCAAGGACCCAAGGGTAGAGCATGCATGATGGGCATGAGAAAGATGGAGGAGGCCAAGGGAATGGACTGGAGGGTGGGAGGTGGACACAGACGGGGCTGAGGTAGCTGGGGCTGCCCATGCAGGGACAGAATCTTGCTGGGTTAGATCATTGGTGGGAAGTTTGTGAAACGAAATGAGGGCTTAATGTCTAAGTACAGAAAAAATAATGTGAAATGTAAGATGTGATCTGATTTCACTATAATCTTTAGCCTATAATTATGAACTGGCTCACTTCTGTTTTCCCTCTCATTCATACTCAACCTAGTTTTAAAATATTTTATTTTATTTTAAGTTCCAGGATACATGTGCAGGACGTGTAGGTTTGTTACATTCGTAAACATGTGCCCTGGTAGTTGGCTGCACCTATCAACTCATCACCTAGGTATTAGGTCCCACATGCATTAGCTATTTATCCTGATCACACTCAACCTATTTTTGACTATTAGACACTCCACAGAGTTATGTGTGTGCAATTTAAAAAAAAAATCAATCCAAACATTTAATATTTTTGTAAAACTTCAATAATAGAGACATCTCCCCTTTTGCTGTAACTTCATTGTATTGATTATGCTAACCTCTTGAAATTCAACAGCATTGCTTCCATCAGGATGATAAAACACAATGATGGGAATTTGGCTAATTTTTCAAGTCTCATCATTGCATCATCCAGTCAATGAAAAGTGATATGAAGTCTTTGCTAAAAATAGTCCATGATTCTTATGACACCAAATCTGCTGGCTTAAATTCTTCAAGGTAAGTGAATTAGAATGTCAGCAAGATTAATAGAATAGGTAGCAATTATAGTTTTACTTTCTAAATTTTCCTATTATGGTAAGCTGTAAATGAATGAACGATACCCTAAAATTCCATGTACACTCAGTGTCTAGTGGCAGGCAATGATCAAGTGCTTACAGGATGCGACTAAGATGCTAGACTCACCAAGAACAAGGCACTGGATAAATCTCTAAACCATTCTAAGTCACTGTGAAAGGTGAAGCATTTGAACTAGAGCCCTGTCCAGTTGGAAAATGTGATTATCCTGGAATTGCGTACCAAATATGATGTAGATAAGTAATGCCCAATTTTAGGAAGGGAAACTAGAATTGATTTTAATAGAAGTAATGCTTTTCCTCTTAGTTTCCAATCTGGTAAAGGATGCATTTCATAAAAGATGGGAATTGTGTGGCTGAATTTGCTAAGAAATACTAGTCTCGACATTTATTTGTATTATCAAATACATATGTCCAGCAACACTAATTGGACAAATTGATAATTTGCCCTATTTTCCCTTCCCAGGTAGGGTCTGTCTCTCTCTCTGTGTGTAGAAGCAAACTTGCTAGACCCCTAATCACCAAAGAATCCCCAAATTTTTATGTCAAGGTTTACATATTAATATAAAATTACCCAAATGGGGGAAACATTTAAAGGCTCTGAAGGTTTTAAAAAGAGGGAAATGGACGATGAAGAAAGCCATGCTAGGACTGCCAGCTTCAAAGTGGGAAGCTGAAGGTTATGCTCTTTAAGCATTACTTTCGTTATTGTTAATATTTTAAAACATAGTTAATTCTTAAAACAATTTCATCTCTGTCTCTTTCCATTTAGATTCTTTAGATTCCAAGCTCCTCAAAAGCTGTGGCTCAGATTACTTAATGCATATTTATATGTAACACGAATTAACTAACAAACACATAGAGAAGTACAGAGGTTTTCATAAATGCGTAATAAATATCTCATTCAATGAATCATAAATACTTGCATATATTTCAGAAAGTTATCTCCTTATAAAGACAGTGTCGGGGCTCAGAACACGACACCCCAAAATAAGGCTCCTTGGCATATATATATATATATATATATATATATATATATATATGTTTGTGTGTGGGTGTGTGTGTGTATATATACACATAATATATACATACACATACACATACGTACTTATATATATGGAAAATTCTTACTTAAAGCCATATTGTCTTGAAACAAGAGTGGAAAGTGAGAGACTACATTAGATCCATCACTGGAATAAGTGGTCAGTCATTTTGGCAAACTTGATCTCAGCTTGATCATTAGAGACCCATGAAGCTGTTAAAAACAACTCACACTAACGACCTAGCTGAATAATGGGAATATGCAAGGGAGAAGAAATGTTATGTTCCAAGAGTACAGGGCACTCTGAATTCTCTGTGTATAAAAGCTTCTTTTCATTGGAATTCAAGAGACAGAAAAAAAAGCCCTTCCCTCTCTGTGCTTTTGAAGGGTTTACATCACTGCTTCTCACATTCCAGTAATTTAGCAGAAACAGCTGTTCTGCTGTCCCAGGCAAGAAGCCATGAACTGCATTCCAAAGAATATGCTCCATGCTGTTATTATTTATTAATTAATGCTATAGCCCCTGCCTCATAACAAATGAATATCTGTGAAAAAGTCTAAAAAGAAAGAAAAATCATTTATTTTCTCTGTTTCCTGAACACAAAGCAATACCCTGATTTTATATCCTTATCCTCTAAATGGACTGCTACACTATTCTATTTTTCAAATACATTCATTAAGCTCTTTTCTTGTTTTGGTAGATTTTTTTCTTTTTTTGAGACAGAGTCTCACTCTGTCGCCCAGGCTGGAATGCAGTGGCGTGATCTTGGCTTGCTACAACCTCCACCTCCTGGGTTCAAGTAATTCTCCTGCCTCAGTCTCCCGAGTAGCTGGAATTACAGGTGCATGCCACCATGCCCGGCTATTTTGTATTTTTAGTAGAGACGGGGTTTCACCATGTTTGCCAGGCTGGTCTTGGACTCCTGACCTCAAGAGATCCACCCACCTCGGTCTCTCAAAGTACTGGGATTACAGGCGTGAGCCAGCGCAGCCGGCCATTTTGGTAGATTTTGATCAGAAAAAACAAATTATCGTTAAGACTGCCTCAGGCTGGGCACCATAGCTCACGCCTATAAACCCAACACTTGAGGAGGCAAAGTGGGGAGATAGCTTGAGCCCAGGAGTTAGAGATCAGCCTGCACAACACAGCGAGACCCTGTCTCTACAAAAAATAAAAATAAAACATAAATTAGCTTGGGGCAGTAGCATTTGCCTGTACTCCCAGCTACTAGAAAGGCTGAGGTAGAAAAATGGCTTGAGACCAGGAGTTTAAGCCTGCAGCGAGCTGTGATTGCACCACTACATACTCCGGCCTTGGGCAACAGAGAAAGACCCCATACCAAAAAAAGAAATGAACAAACAACAACAAACTGCTTCATAAGTAAAAGTATAGAATCTTCTTTGACTCTCAAAAACATTTACATTAAAAAATAGTGAAAATTAGAAATATTTTGAATACAGCTTTTTAAAATGATAAGCATTTAACAAAATTTCTGCACAGCTGCTGTCAATCCTGAAAAGCCTAACCAGTTACCTAGGACTTCCAAATCATAGCAAGACCTATGTATCTTTCACATAATAAACAATATCCAATCTTTGAAGTTTGCCCCTTATCTATACAGTTGCACTATGTTTGTTAGATAATAGGTAATCCCTTCCTAGCCTAGGTTTAAAAAAAAAAAACCAATGTAAACATATTCAGATTATTTAGAAATACATACACTATTATTCTGGATCTTTATAAAAAATAATTTGACTTCTTCAGATTTTAAATGAGTGATCTAACTCATCTAAGCAAACAGAAAAATGAGAGCTTTTCCCCTAAAACATAATAAAGTTTCAAAACCAGATTCTGGGAAGTACTGAAATTTTGTTGATTACCATTATAATTTTCTCATGTACAGATGGTATTTTTAATGTCTCAAAATGATTGTTAATCTGTGTTCATAAATCAGTTACCTCTTAATTTTTAAAAGATTGAATCCATTCTTTCAAAAATATCTAAAAACTAATACAAACCAAGAAAAATAGTTGTATTTACTTATTAGTCAAAAACAAATACAATTTTTTCTGGAATACTTTGTGTGTGTTTTATTATACCTGATTTATTTCTGTCCATATGATCAAAGGCTATCCAAAAGCAAATAACAACATTTAACCGAAACTATCTTGCTTAGAAGAACTGACTTGTATATGCCTAGGGCAAACTTTAAGTACAAAAAAAGTTATGCTTATAATTCTATTTACAAGTGTGGTCAGAAAACACGCTCTGTGTTTCCATTTCATCCTATGTGTAGTGATAGAGAATTGGTAAGAACTTTTAATTAAATATTATTGAGAAATAAAAAATATGTTAATGGGATATTTTAAAATGTTAAAAACCACTAGCAGTAGATTATTAACTAGCCTTTTTATACATATAACCTGAACATACCTGTATCTTTACATGTAAGTATGTACATACCCCTTTTATTACGACCTTAAATAAAAGCATTAAAATCTTATCATAAATGCTCAAAAAGGAAGTTGCATAGTTGTTCTCCTCAAATGGTTAATTTGGGGAGGGATCCAATATTTGAGGAGGTTCAGCTTCACCTTAGAATTATGTGTCAAATTAGATAAAAAGCATATTAGATGACCACAGAGGATTATAGAATTAACACAAGAAATTGATATTGTTGCAAGAATCAGCGACCTTTCAGAAGCAGTAAGTCAAGTCTGTTTATCCGTATCTCAAGGAATTAAAAGTGAAAGAATGACACTACCTGCAAATTAGCCCTTCAAGAAGATCTGAAGGATGTTGTTACATCCCTTGGCTGAAGCATGATCAAGAACAACCTAGAGAAACACCGCCCATGCTCAGGTTCCTGTGCCTCTGCAGGATGATAGGAGGAGAAACCATGCAGGTGCTAGAATTGGTATATTCTTTAGAGTTTTACTTTTGGTTGATCCTGGCTACACCCTGAAAAGTCATCTCACATACCATATTTGGCAAAAGTGCAAATGGATGCTAACCTTAAGTCTAAACTCTAGATTTCTGAACTAGCAAGCTGTCAAATAGTAAAGAAAATTTAATTTATCTTCCATTGACATAGGCTTTTCTCCTAAGAGAGTATGACCAACTCCTATGACATTGATTCTTTACGCGATGGTTCCTTTGAGATTTTGCTACCAAAGTAAAATCATGCATTTTATTTGTAAGCTGGTGTTTTGATTGATGGTCAAAGACTAATATCTCTCAAAATATGGCCCTTACTCCATGATAGACTTAATTTCAAATTTTCTCCAAGTCACAACCACTATTTGTAAAATGACTTCCTGTCAAGTTACCTGTGTTTTATATCATTAATTTCAGCCAGTTGCCTCCGGCTACAGAACAGTGGTTTGTCAGTTTAAACACACAGACATCAAGACTGACTGACGACTAAAGCTCTTTAAAAATCTAATGCACTAAACATTTCATCTTGTTATTTTTCAAGGGAAGTATAATCAAAAATTGCGATGAATTCCCATTGCTTTCACACATATTACTTTGAACTTTCTTTTTTGTATCTCATTAAGTCCACAAAAGGAGTTCTTCAGCAGTCTTCTGCTCTTATACCCACCACATCCAATTATTCAGAAAATGAATGTTTTCAATATCAGAGGATCAAGTATGATGTGATGGGTTATTTGACACTAAAATAAAGGTAAGGAGAAAAAGCCTTTCAGAGTAATTGGTATGAATCCCATTGCATCACATACCATTGGGGTCAGAGTGCCTACTTAATAGAAACTTCCATAAGAATTGTATGCTGCAGCTGAAGTTTTACCTTCACTTGCCAAGTTTTTCTAATCCATTTTCAAGTGCACTTAAAACAACTGGCACATCAAAAATCTATACAAAATTCTGCGTGTGAATGATAGATGCAAATCCAAGGTTTGGATGGAACCCAAATAATATGGGTTTCCAAAAGATTTGTAGTTGCAGCATACTTCACAAAGGGAGAGTCAGTTGACTAAATTATAGAGTCTGCAGAAAATGTATGATAGTTCTAATTTCTGCAATGTTGGTTTAGCTTTTCCTATTTATGACAGGCCAAAGTAGAGGCTTCAGTCTTGCAGAGCTTCTTCTTCAAACAAAAAATATCAAAGACATGCATGGAGCAGTCTGGGCTTCATCTTTTTTTTTTTTAATTAAAAAAAATTCTGTAGAGCTTATATCATCAACCATAATGTTCACAAAATAGATAAGTGGCCGAATCAGAGTTTCTACACACACATTTCTTGAAAGTGAAACATGTTCTTGGGAAAATTAAGCTATATAATGGACTCAAGGAATATAAAATAATTTTCATATGTAACTCTATAAAACACAAAGATAAACAAACCCTTACAGAGAAAATACAGCAACATATATAAGAGGTCAAAGATTAGCTACAAACCTTCTTGAAATACCTTTAAGTTAAATTAAGAACTGTCTATTCACTGTAGGTGTTCATAACATTTTTGCATGTGGTATACCACATTTCTAAGTGTATACTGCATAAAAATGAAGTGAACGGGATAGTAGATGATAGCGGTAATTCACCTTCACCTGCTGGAGAAGGTATTCAGGCCAGAGTATGGAGAAGTGACCCCTCAAGCACTCCAAGTTGATGGGAGGTAGGGCAGTCAAGGATAACCCATGCTCCTCAGCCTCAGCCTCAGAGGGCAGGGTATAATGGCAGCAGCAAAGTGGCTTCTTCACATCTTCTTGTCCTCAGTAGTTCTTTAGAGCCTTTCCAGTAGAATGTGTCTCTACAAACCAGAATCAAGCTTCCTTTCTGCACCCCTGCCTTGGATTCATTTCCCTATTGTCTATTTTCATTCCTTTGTGTCTTGAAGGTAGCTCTTTAAAAAAGGACAAAACTTATGTTGGGGGAGATGGGTTAACACTCTTGTCACAAGAGGTGGAGGGAGGAATTACACAATCAGCTAATGCCTTCATCAGCTTTTTAGCCCTATGCAAGGCTACGGTTGCAGTTCAGTGAAGAATGTGAGACCTAGAGAAGAGCATCCCTGGAGCAGAGAAGAGATGGCAGGAGGGCTCAGAGTGGAAAGGATAGTTGCCAAAAATATGTGATAATTTTGCATTATACCAAAACTGTCTTGCATCAGTATTTGGCACATAGGCACAAACTGCCAAGCAGAAACTTGGCGGGTGAAGAACCTATAAGAGTTTGTGCCTCCGGAGTACTGAAAGTGTCCACAAATGATTCTATGGGCCACATATTAGATGAGGTATATACCTCTCTAAGGCCTTTTCAGTCTCTGCCTATTTTCCCCCAATGACAGGAAACTTGCCCTCTACTAGGAAATTTGAAAAAATACAGGTCAGGTGCAGTGGCTCATGTCTGTAATCCCAACACTTTGGGAGGCCAAAGTGGGAGCATGGCTTGAACCCAGGAATTTGAGGTTGCAGTAAGCTATGAACAAGCCACTGAACTCCTGCCTGAGTGACAGAGTAAGACCCTATCCCAAGAAAAAAAAAATTTTTGAAAAAAAAAGCCATATGAGAATTTTCTCTGATGAGTCTCTCAAATGGTTTTACATCTTTCTTTCTGAAAAAGTTTGTGTATGTTTTGCCAATATTGCCTTTTAATGACCACATTATTATCTCCTTCATTAATCATTTTCTGGTCTCCCCAAATGTGCTATTTGTTATTCATCAAACCTTGAGCAAAGCCTCTTAAATTTATGCTGAATTTTCTTCAACCCTCCAGAAAATAAATGAGCAAAAATTCATGTAAGTAGAAAACATGATAAGACAAAATATACCACAATTGAGAATTCAAAATCTATAAGGTTTTTATACTACTTTTAAATTACCTTGTGAAATGGCACCATATGTAACAATAATCATTAGACCACGAAGTTTGCATGGAAAATGGAACATGCTTCAATGTCATCCTACAACCCATATATTTTTCGTTATTCATTAAGTTGAATTAAGGGCAGTAAGCAAAAAGGAAAACTAATACTAATATTTTGAATGGCCTCATGAACATATTAAATCATAACACTTAGTTCAACAATTGAAGATTCAGTAGGCAGGGCACAGAGAGCTGCAAGGTAGATGTTCTTAAAGTTCGGACATATGGTCAGGAAAGCAAGACCCTTTGAAATGTCAACTAATCACACTATTTAAAAATTGTCATATTATTTATTTAGGTTAGTGCTAAGTCTATTCTCATCCTTAATCACGACCTTGAAGATTAGGTATTATTATATCTTCTCACAGATAGGAGAAAATGAAGACTTATGAAAGATTAGGGACTTACCCAAAGTTAGACACTATTATGTGCCAGGGTTATTTCTAACAAAATCTTTAAACCTGCTCTGTAAACAATAGATAAAAAGCTCTGGCCGGGCGCGGTGGCTCACGCCTGTAATCCCAGCACTTTGGGAGGCAGAGGCGGGCGGATCATGAGGTCAGGAGATCGAGGCCATCCTGGCTAACACAGTGAAATCCCGCCTCTACTAAAAATACAAAAAATTAGCCGGGCGTGGTGGCGGGCGCCTGTAGTCCCAGCTACTCGGGAGGCTGAGGCAGGAGAATGGCGTGAACCCGGCGGGCGGAGCTTGCAGTGAGCCGAGATCGCGCCACTGCACTCCAGCCTGGGTGACAGAGCGAGACTCCGTCTCAAAAAAAAAAAAAAAAAAAAAAAAAAAAGCTCTATGATCCACATCTATACAGACAATGTCTCCCAAATCCAATATGATGAGATTATTGGCTCCTATATATTAAGAACACTATATGACTGAAACAGTACTAAATGCTTTATATACACTTTCTCACTATCTTTACAATAACTTGGAGAAAGATGGAGTTTGAGAAAGATAGTGCACCCCTAGATATGCTAACCAAAAAACAAAAAAAAAGATTCTGGGCCAGCAAAGCTGTGGATGAAATCATAGGCCGTGAATACATCTAACTTACCCCAAACAAACCAACCAGTATCCTTTAGAATAAAGCACAGTTGTTTTAAGAGCTGGCTCTGTAGGTAGATCCGGGTTTGAATTTTGGCTCTGAGACTTAATAGACATGGTAGTCATGCAACCTTGGGTGAGTTTTTCAACCTCACTCTGCCTCAGTGTCCTAACCTGTAGAATGGGAATAATAATAGAATCCTCCTAGGGTTATCGCAAGTCATAGAACCTTCATACGGTTATCATAAAGCTTAAGTGAGTTAATAGTGAAACTCTTACAACAGTGCCTAGTACATACTTAATTATCAAAATATGTTGGCTTTTTTATCTTTTAGACTATGAGCAGCTTGATATTTATTGATTACCCAGCCATCCTAGGGAACCTTCAAATATTTTCTCTTTTATTTTTCATTTCCATTTTATTTTTCATTTCATTTTGGGGTCTCCATAAAATAACATGCAACAGACAGGGAATGCTACTTATAGTCCATGCCTGATGCAAACCCATATCCAGCCAACCTAAAACCAACTCTCTGGGCTCTAGTGCTCAACCTGTTAAAAATATGTAGTTATTTTAATTCCTTAAATTGAATCAAATTCCACATACAAGATTGGAATGAAACAGTTGCACAACCTTTTTTCCCTCACTCAAAAGTTTAGGGCCTAAAACTAGAAAAAAAAAATGCTGATTTTAAGTTCCACTAAGATGGTGATTTATGAAATCCTTAAGCTAAATATTTTAAATACTTTTGGAATAGGACAAAGCAGATATTTAGTAAACACGAGGCTTTTGACTTTAAGACTAACTCCTGACCATTTCAATGTTTTGAGTGTATGTTTGAGGGGAAAAAAAATGTTCAAAACCACAATAGACCAAACATAAAGACAGTTTTAAAACAGTTTGAAAATATAATGTAAAGTTACCTTTAAGAAAAGCCACTGCCAAGGAAACACATATATGTTTTATGTCTCTTTATTTAGCAACTATAGATATATGTAATGTTTGCAACAAGATGTTAAAAGTAGTTAACTCTGGGAGATTTTTAACTATCTGTTTTGTGCTTTCTAAACTGCCTACATTTTAGATAAGTATGAAGTACTACTATAATTAGAAAAATAGAGCTATTATCATTTTGAGAAAGACATAAATACCAATAATATATAAACCAAAAATAATAATATAATTTTTGGAGTCCTCAAGTTTCTGCTCTGTGACAGAAATATGAAATGATACTTTTCCTTTTAAAATTATCAATGTATGATAACCTTGTGAACTCTTGGAAGAGTCAGATGGAAATGATCTTTGACTAGGTAGGGACTACCGAATCAAAACACCTGGAAAAACAGGCTGCTAAATTACCACCCTGGTTCTGTAGATTACACACTCTGAACGAATCATAAATTAGAGCGCAGTTCATTGGGGCTATCAATTCCTTTCCAAAGTATGGGATTCCTGCCTTATGCTAGCTAGGATCACTTTAAAATACCACTGAGATAAACAATGTCTTTCACTTATGAATTCCAACTGATTGCAGGGAAACTTTAAAGTCCTAGCAACACTGTTGCTATAGCAATGCAACCTGATTAGATATTCTTAGCAACCAGTCACAACTCACGCCCACAAAGCCCCTTCACTTATTCTAAGAAGAATAATGTTGACATTCCAATTTCTAAAATATACAGATCTCAGTGATAGGCATCTATGGATGAGAGGCCTGTGAGATCCAATGGAATAGCATGCTCATGAACGACGCACCCAGGTCTTGAATATGTGATATGTATATTCAATAAACACATATAAAAGTAGGTTCTGTATGGCTAGAAATTAAAGAAGGATTTCATTTGACTCTTGGAATACAGGTAAATAATGGCAGAATCCTTGAATTTTATATTGTTATAGCTAAAGTTTTACACACTTCTCAAATTGCATATTTTTTCTGCTAAATTAACAGATATAGTGATAAAATTATATGTTTGCCACAAACAGCAATGATTTGACATTTTGACTCTAAAGCTTTGATAAAAACTGGTATCTCACTTGAAACACCGCAGGCACTAGCCATAGAAAGGGTATGGTTAATTAAGAGGGTATACAGCAGACATGTGACCTTGATATCACAAATGCTTAAACCAGAGTTGATATGAGAAACTGATGGAGCTTATTCTCTGAAAGGAAAGACCTATCGCATTCTCAACAGGATAAGCTGTGAAGACTAGATTCTGGAGTTATTCCCAGGCAGATTTTAATCGGGAAGGTCAGATGCATAACCAAATCAATGAGGGCACAGAAAAGACAATTAC